>NC_000011.10:108990606-109293636 GCF_000001405.40 Homo sapiens | reverse complement strand
TCATTCTCCTACACATGGATTTTTTCTGCATATGAAATATCCAGTTTTCTCAACACCATTTATTGAAGAGGGTGTCCTTTCACAGTGCATGTTCTTGGGGCCTTTGTCAAAAATCAGTTGGCTGTATATACATGGATTTATTTCTGTGTCCTCTATCTGCTCCATTGGTCTGTGTGTCTGTTTTTATATCAATACCATGCCATTTTGGCTAGCGCCTTATAACATATTTTGAAGTCAGAGAATGTGATGCCTGTAGCTTTATTTGTTTTGCTCAGGATCACTTTGGTTATCTGGACACATTTTTTGTTCCATACACATTTTAGAATTGATTTTTCTAAATCTGTTAAAAATGTTGTTGGTATTTTCATAGGTATTCTATTAAATTTGTAGATTGCTTTGGGTGGTATGTTAATTTTAACTTTGTTAATGCTTCCAATCAATGAGCATAGAATACATTTTCATTTGTTTGTGTCTTCCATTTATTTCATCAGCGTTTTGTGGTTTTTCTTGTAGAAATTATTTATCTCTGGTAAAATTTAATTCTAGTGATTTTATTTTGGGGCTACTATGAATGGAATTTTTTCTTGATTTCTTTTTAAGCTAGTTCATTTTTAGTGTATAAAATGCTACTGAATTTTGTACTTTGATTTTGCATCATGAAACCATACTAAATCTGTTTATTAGATCTAAGAGTTTGGGTTGAGTCATAAGGTTCTTCCAAACATAAGATTGTGTCATCTGAAAAGAAGGACATTTTAACTTCCTCTTTTCCTATTTGGTGGCCTTTTATTTAATTCCAGTGCCTGATGTTCTGGCTAGGATTTTCAGTACTATGTTGAATAGGATTGGTGAAAGTGTGTATCCTTGTCTACTTGCAGTTTTTAGAGAAAAGCCTTTCAGATTTTCCACATTCAGTATAATGTTAGCTGTGGGTTTGTCATATATGGTCTTTATTATGTTGAGGTATGTCTCCTATACCTAGTTTGTTTAGAATTTTATCAGAAAAGGATGTTGGATTTTATCAAATGCTTTTTCATATGGTTTTTGTCCTTCATTCTATGTGATGTATCACATGTATTAATTTGTATATGTCGAAACATCCTTGTATCCCTGAAGTAAATCCAACTTGACCATGATGTATTAGCATTATGGTGTTAGTCCATTTTCATGCTGCTAATAAAGACATACTCGAGACTGGGTAATTTATAAAGGAAAGAGGTTTAATATACTCACAGTTCAGCACGTCTGGGAATGCCTCAGGAAACATACAATCATGGCAGAAGGGGAAGCATACATGTCCTTCCTCATGGCAGCAGGGTGGAGAAGTGTTAGCAAGAGGTGGGGAAAGCTCCTTATAAAATCATCAGATCTTGTGACAACTCACTGTCACGAGAACAGCATGAGGGTAACCATCCCCATGATTCAATTACCTCCCACCGAGTCCCTCTCACGATATATGGGGATTAGAGAACTACAATTCAAGATGAGATTTGGTTGGGGACACTGCCAAACCATATCAATTATGATGTATTGTTAGTTTCAGATTGCTGGTACTTTGTTGAGGATTTTTGCTTCTATGTTTGATATGCTTTGGCTCTGTGTTCCCACTCAAGTATCATGTAAAATTGTAATCCCTATGTATGGAATGAGGAGCCTGGTGGGGGGGCGTGATTTGATCATGGGGTCAAACTTCCCTTTTTCTATTCTCATGATGGAGTTCTCATGAGATCTGGTTGCTTAAAAGTGTGTAGCACGTCACCATTTGTTCTCTTTCTCCCACTCTGGACATGTGAAAATATGCCTTGCTTCCCCTTTACCTTCCATCATAACTGTAAGTTTCCTGAGGCCTTCTCAGCCATGTGGAACTGTGAGTCAATTAAGCCTCTGTTCTTTATGAATTACTCAGTCTCAGGTAATTTATAGCAGTGTGAGAATGAACTAATACAAGACATTTATTTATAGCAGTGTGAGAATGGACTAACACAGCAAGTTGGTACTAGAGAAGTGGGGCATTGCGATAAATATACCTGAAAATGTGGAAGCAACTTTGGAACTGGGTAACAGGCAGAGGTTAGAACAGTTTGGAGGGCTCAAAAGAAGACAGGAAGATGAGGGAAAGTTTGGAACTTCCTAGAGACTTGAAAGATTTTGACCAAAATGCTGATAGTAATATGGACAACGAAGTCCAAGCTGCAGTGGTCTCAGAGGGAAATGAGAAATTTACTGAAAACTGAAACAAAAGTCACTCTTGCTGTGCTTTAGCAAAGATACTGGTGGCACTGTGTTCCAGCTCTAGGAATCTGTGGAACTTTGAACTTCAGGGAGATTATTTAAGGCATCAGATAGATGAAATTTCTAGGAAGCCAAGTGTTCAAGATGTGGTCTGGCTGCTTCTAAAAGCCTACACTCTTTTGCACAAACAAAGATAACATATTTAAAAGGAAAGCAAAACAGAAAACTTTGGAAAATTTGCAGCCTGATCATGTGGTAGAAAAGAAAACCCCATTTTCTGGGGAGAAATTCAAATCCGCTGCAGAAATTTGCATAAATAAAGAGGAGCTGAATGTTAATATCCAAGACAATAGGGAAAATGCCTCCAGGACATTTCAAAGACCTTCCAGGCAGACCCTCCCATCACAAGCCTGGAAGCCTAGGAGAGAAAAATGGTTTCCTGGGCCAGGGCCAGGGCCCTACTGCTCTGTGCAGCCTTGAGACCTGGTGGCCTGCATCCCAGCTACTCCAGCTCCAGCTGTGGCTAAAAAGGGCCAAGGTTCAGCTTGGGCTGTTGCTTCAGAGGGTGCAAGCCCCAAGCCTTGGCAGCTTCCATGTGGTACTAGGGCTTCAGGTGTGCAGAAAACAAGAGTTGGGTCTTGAAAACCTCGGCCTAGATTTCAGATGATGTACGACAATGCCTGGTTGTCCAGGTAGAAGTCTGCTGCACAGGTGGAACCCTCATGGAGAACCTCTATTAGGGCAGTGCAGAGAGGAAATGTGAGATTGGAGTCCCCACACAGTGTCCCCACTGGAGCACTGCCTAGTGGAGCTGTGAGAAGAGCACCACCATCCTCCAGACCCCAGAATGGTAGATCCACCAACAGCTTGCACTGTGCACCTTTGAAGGCAACAGGCACTCAATGCCAGCCTGTGAAAGCAGTTGCAGGGGATTTACCCTGCAGAGCCACAGAGGTGGAGCTGCCCAAGTTTATGAAAACCCACCCCTTGCATCAGCATGCCCTGGATGTGAGACATGAAGTCAAAGGAACTTATTTTGGAGCTTTAAGATTTAATGACTGCCCTGCTGGGTTTCTGACTTGCATGGGGCCTGTAGCCCCTTTGTGTTGGCTGATTTCTTCCTTTTGGAACTGAAGCATTTTACCTAATGTCTGTGCCCCCATTGTATCTTGGAAGTAACTAGCTTGTCATTGATTTTACAGGCTCATAGGCAGAAAGAACTTGCCTTGTCTCAAATGAGTCTTTGGACTTGGACTTTTGAGTTAATACTGGAATGAGTTAAGACTTTGGGGGACTGTTGGGAAGGCATGGCTGGTTTTAGAAATGTGAGGAAAAGATGAGATTTGGGAGGGGCCAGGGGCAGAATGATATGGATTGACTCTGCGTCCCCACCCAAATCTCAAGTAAAAATTGTAACTCCCACATGTGGAATGAGAAGCCTGATAGGGGGCGAATGAATCATGGGGGCAGACTTTCCTCTTGCTGTTCTTGTGACACTGTTCTCACAAGATCTGGCTGTTTAAAAGTGTGTAGCAATTTACTGTCTGCTCTCTTTCTCCTGCTCTGGCCATGTGAAGATGTGCTTTGCTTCCCCTTCACCTTCTGCCATGATTGTAAGTTTGTTGAGGCATCCCCAGCTATGTGGAGCTGTGAGTCAATTAAACCTCTGTTCTTTATAAATTACTCAGTCTCAGGTAGTACTTTATAGCAGTGTGAGAATGGACTAATACAATGTGCATCAGCGATATTGGCCTGTAGTTTTTGTTGTTGTTGTTGTTGTGTTCTTGTCTACTTTTGGAATCAAGGTAATGGGGCCTTATAGAATGAGTTAAAAAGAATTCCTTCCTCTTTATTTTTTTGGAACAGTTTAAGGATACTTGGTGTCAGTTCTTTATTAGTTTGTTGAATTCAGTAGTAAAGTCATCCAGTCCTTGGCTTTTTGGGGGGAGATTTTTTGTTATTAATTTTTTTTCACATTATTGGTCAGTTTAGGTTTTCTATGTTTTCCTGATTCAATTTTGGTAGGTAGTCTGTATCCAGGAATTTATCCATTTCCTCTGGGTTTTCCAGTTTGTTAGCATGTAGTTGATCATAATAGTCTCTGATAATATTTTTTATTTCTGAGACATCAGTTGTAATGTCTACTTTTTAGGTTCTATTTTCATTTATTTTGGTCTTTTCTCTTCTTTCCTTTGTTAGCCCAGCTAGGGGGTTATCAGCTTTTTTCATCTTTTCCAAAAATCTAACTTTTCATTTCATTGTTCATTTGTTTTTGTTTTTTTTTTTTTAGTTTCTGTTTGGTTTAGTTCTGCTCTGATCTTTATTATTTCTTTTCTTCTACCTATTTGGGGTTTGGCTTCGTCTTGTTTTTCTAGTTCCTTGAATTCATGATTAGTTCATTTGAATTTTTATACTTTTTTGATGTAGGTGTTTATTGCTATAAAATTCCCTCTTAGCACTGTTTGTGTTGTGTCCCATAGGTTTTGTTATGTTGTATTTCCATTTTCATTTGTTTCACGAATTTTCTTTATTTCCTTCTTAATTGGCCTAACCATCATTCAGGGTGTATTAGTAAGTGTTCTCTAGAGGGATATATATATATAAAATAGGATATATGTATATATACAAAGGAGTTTATTAAGGAGAATCGACACATGTGATCACAAGGTGAAGTCCCACAATAGGCTGTCTGCAAGCTGAGGAGCAAGGAAACCAGTCCAAGTCCCAAAACCTCAAAAGTAGGGAAAATGAGAGTGCAGCCTTCAGTCTGTGGCCAGAGGCCTGAGAGCTCCTTGCAAATCACTGGTGTAAGTTTGAGTCCAAAAGCTGAAGAACTTGGAGTCTGATGTTTGGGCAGGAAGCATCCAGCATGGAAGAAAGAAAAAAGATGAAGGCTGGAAGACTCAGCAAGTCTAGTCCTTCCAATTTCTTCTGCCTGCTTTATGCTAGCCCTGCTGGCAACTGATTAAATGTTGTCCAACCAGCACACTGACTTAAATATTAATCTCCTTTGGCAACATCCTTACGGATGCACCCAGGAAAAATACTTCGCATCCTTCAATTCAATCAAGTTGACACTTGATATTAACCATCACAAGTCCACCCCTTGTCAACTGGAACCCATACACATCTCCTGGAATTATACATAATCTTCAAAGATAAAAATAAGGTCATAATTACACCTAACATAATACAGCTATCCTTCATACAACCAGAAGTGCACTAATCTTCAACCTAAATGCTATTACATAAAGTTAACAACACTTAAATGCTGATATAAAGTCAATAAATCTTATGTCACAAGATAAAGGAAGAAAGGAAAAGATATTTTCTTGTATAAGTGTACACATGCACAAACTTATTCTTAACAAAATAAGGAGGAAATACTCATGACAATTACAGTCGTCATTTCTGCAACTGGTCATAGCTGGTATTGATGACTACCTTCTTCTACTATCCATTCTGTATTCCCTTTGCCTTCAGCAAGCACTTCAGCAGGTCATAGTTTTTTTACCTGGTGGAGTGATACAAATTTTCATCCCTGAAGGGTTTGAGCCATTTGTAGTCCTGCCTGAATTGGGTTGTTGTAGTTCCCCATTGACCTTAATCACATGGTAATACCAAGAGATGCCCTAAGGGATCTCCTGTATTCCAGGCATACTCTTCCTTACCTCCATTGTGGAGTAGTAGACTGATTTCATCTTAATAGTCTGGGTTAAATCATCCCAGCCAACACTTTAACTCCCTTCTTAGCCTGTTGACTTAGATGTAGGAAGAGCCCAAAGTGTCCAGGTGTTAATGTTAACTTCCAGTGTAATGCAATCATTGTTGTCTCTGAATGGCAGCATTCCTCCCTCTGAAACTAAGACCTCTAGGCCAGCAGAACGTAATGTTTTAATGTCACAGGAACAGGAAGCAACTAATTTGATAGTGGGTCACTAGGAGTGATGGTGAGTGGTGCCACTTCCAGTTCTGATAAAGAAAATTATCTTGTCTCCCTCTTCAAGACACTGTGCTTATTTAAAATTCCGTATAAGTGTCAGAATCAGCTTTTCAATTATCACCCAAAATTCTACTAGGATTTTTACTGGCATTATCTTTATTATTTCTACTTCTTTTGAGTTTAGTTTGCTGTTTTTTTTTAACTTCTTGACATGGGGTTTTTTAGTTATTGGGGTTTCTAATGATTGGGTTATTTTAATCATTTAATCCTTTATTTTTGGAGTAGTTTTCTATTTTAGTAATTATTTTAAATATTAAAATATGTCAAATTATCAGGGCTTCATATTTAATGTTAACTGTCATTTTTACTCTCTTCCTGGATAATGCAGTGACCTTAGAAAAGTTTTGCAGCCTTCCAACTTACATACTATAGTTTTGGTACTTTAACTCTGCTTATTTAAATTACATGATACTGTTATTATTGTGCTAAACATTATTCATTATTATTTATCTCATCCTCACGCTTTTTGTTATCCTCAATACTTCTTACATCTCTTCAACCTAAAATTATAAAGAATTCTTTTATTATTTCCTTTAATGGGAGACTGGAAGTAATGAATTCATGTAGTTTTTCTTTGCCTTCAATTTTTTTCACCTTCATTCTTGAACAATAATTTTGCTGAGTATAGATGCCTTTTTTATTAGTAGAGATATCTTGGTTGTCAGTAATTATTTTTCAGAACACTAAATATATATTTCAATTGTCTTCTGGTTTCTTCTTTATTGTTGAATGCCAGCTGTCAATCTGTTACTCAAGTGAAGCAAATGGTTCATTTTTCTCTGAATGTCATTACATTTTTGTCTTTGTCTTTGATGTTCACTAATCTTCTCATTTGTGCTAGAGGTAGAGTTCTTTAAATGTTACCTCTCAATTTTTATGGTGCTTCATCCATTTGCAAGTTGATGCTGTTTATCAGTTTTGAAAAAAAAATTTAATATCTTTTAAAATATTGCTTCTTCTCCATTCTACCTCTCCTGTCTTTCTGAGATTCCAATTATGTGTTAGAATTTCTGGCTGGATCTGCTGTTGCTTAGCATCTCTTCTGTGTTTTCCATGCTTTTGCCTCTCAATGAGTCATTCTGGATATTAATACTAATCTATCTTACATTCTATTATCTTTTTCAGATGTGTCCAACAGACTGTTAAATCTATCCATTGTGTTCTTAATTTCAACTTATGTATTTTTCAGCTGTAGAATTTCTATTTAGCTTTCTTTTTCAAATCTGCTATTTCTTTTTATACTTTCTATATATTTGCCAGGATTTTTAATTTTGTCTTCTATTTCTTTGAATATAGTAAGCATGTTTATCTTAATGTTTGACTATATGTTAATTCAAACATCTGGAATCTCTGTATGGTTTCTTTTGCCTATGGTTTCTCCTGAGTTTTGTTCACCTTGCTTTATCTCACACTCCTAGTTATTTTTAGTTATGTACTGCACACTATATCTTTTTTTAAAAAAAGTAGAAATAATTAAGGTCTAGGATGTTTTCTTTTCTCAAAGATTTTTATTTGTTTCTAGCAGTTTCATGCATTGAGATAATTAAAATCTGAGCACCTATTTACTTCTGAAAACCTATTTACTTCTAGTCTATTCACCCTTATGTATAGATGTTAGCCTTTCCACGTTTAATCCCAAACAAGACGTGTTCACTAGGCCTTTATACATTGGCAGTCTGTGCACTCCAATGTCTGAGCCTCTAGCCTCACAAGGCTTCCAAAACTTCTGACCAGCTTTTCAGCCTATTAGCAAGCACCTCAGGAATTAGTAGATGCCTCTAGGGGAAAAAATAGCTTCAAATAGATTTGACATTTTCCAGTTCTTGGCACAGTAATTCCTCACTGCCTTGTTAGTTTACTCATTACTTTAAGTAGACCTTAAAAAACATGGGCTCTTAAACTAGTTTTTAAGCTTTACATTTTAACTATTAATGCTAGACTGTAGTGAGAAACAAGAAAATACAATAACACTTAAAATTACTATCCATAAAATTTAACCATTGTTAAGACAGGTAATTATCACAAGGTCAGGGAACATGTAAGAGGCATGTGTTGGAACTCCCATGCTACGGATGTATGGTGAGAAATGATGGTGCTGTCTCTAGAGAAACAGTGCTCTGAACAGAAGGAATAAATGCTTAAGGTTGTTTCTTTGGAAGACGGATTGACAGCTTACAGGTGCTTGAAACCCAGCAGAAAAAAAAAAAATAAAAGCTTATTACTGTTACTATGAAACCCCCATTAGTGAAGTCTTTTCACCAGAAAGAGGCTTTAAAAACAAACATTTTAAGTAATACCTTGAGACTACAGGAGAGTACTTACAGGACTTAATTTTATAGCCATTCCCTACAATCTGTAACCACCAACTTTTCCCTCAATAGGACAAATGTTAGAGAATCTTTGATACAAGAGAAGCATGGTCACACACACATACACACACACACACACACACAAAACCCATATTTTAGAATATGACACAAAACAAAAATAGGAGGTATCCAGTTATTATGAAACAGGAAATTATATTAATTACAAATGTCAGGATATAAAATAAACATACAATTTTACAGTTTCATGCATATCAGCAGTTTGTTAAAAGAAGACAAAAATGTTCATTCTTAACAACAAATAAAGAGATAAAATATATGGAGATAAGCCCAAAAAGAAATGTGAAAACCTATATTGCTGGGGATGTCATTTCTATATCTGGCCTCAGATTAGGGACAGAACATCTTTATTCAAGAAAATATCTCCATGAGCCACTTCAGAGAAAAGAAAAACCATGAGGGTAAGGGAAGTTACTTTGATAGTTCTGCATAATAAATAGACACTTGGGGATTGGAAATGTCTGATAAACAAGGAAGGATAGCCAAAGTGTGCATGTGTGTTTTTTTTTAACAACCTAGATGTTTAAGATTCAATTTCATATCCCTTCAATCTTTTAGCCAAGTCTCTTGAATTTAAGATGCCTTTTGGGAGCAGGTTTGTGTGAGTAAGTGCATGAATTTGTGTGTGTATGTATATGTATGTGCAAATGGGAAATAAGACCAAAGTCCATAGCCAGGTCAATGTGAAATAGAATAGGAGTAGACAGAGTAAGATGGTAAAATGATCCAGAGCCAGAGATGACTATAAAAACACATATGGTGCCAAAGAAAAGTATTTGAGAGAAGGCCTCAACATTTCATAAATTGTAGAATTGGAATCTGAGACAGAATATATTTAGACTTCTAAGGAAAAGGAAGATATAAGATAAAGTCAGGGTTATATTGACGTGGGGGAAAATCTACCAAACTATTGACAGATATACAAGAAACTTAAATAAGTAGACAAGCCAGGTTGCTGAATGAAAAGACTACTAAGGAGTGTCATTTCTTTCCAAGTTAATTGTCAGACTTAATGTGTTCCAATCAAAATCCCAACTGTGTTTTAAAATATCTTGAAAACTGATTCCAAAGTTCATCTGAAATAGCTTAAGAAAATGAAAAAAGAAGAGTAATAACCTCACTAGATAGTAAAACAGTATAAAGCTAATCAGTATGAAACTGATATGAAAATCAATGGAAAAATCAATAAAATGATGTATATGACCAGGACACAGGAACTATTGCATACAGATTTTTAATATATAATCACAAATCAGGGAGAAAAGGTAGAAACACTCAATAAACATTGTTAAGACCATTTTTTAGCTATTTGAGAAATAATCTGTTCAATTTTTGTGTCATTTTATCCAAATAAATTCAAGATGGGTTAAGAAATTAGATGCTAAAATGAAACAATAGAAAACAGAAGGAAATGTAGTTGAACATTTGTTTGTTCTTTAAGTAGCGAAGACATTCTAGGTATAAAAGAAATCCAAAAAATTTTAAAATATTGGCAGATTTAACACCATAAAAATATTAAATGTCTGTATTTAATTTTATTTTTTGGTTACTTAGTGATATATTTATTTATAGCATTTCCTCTTTATACACAAAAGATATATTCTGAGACCACCCCCCATGGATACCTGAAGCCACAGACAGTACAAATCCTACATATACTATGTTTTTTTCTTATATATAATAACCTATGATAAAGTTTAACTTATAAATTAGGCACAGCAAAAGATTAACAATAGCACATAATAATAAGTAGAACAATTAAAACGATATACTGTAATAAAACTTATGTGAACATGGTCTCTCATTCTCTCTCAAAATATTGTACTGTGCTCACTCTTGTGATGAAGAAGGAATGCAGTGGAACAGAGTGATATTTCATCATTTTACTCAGAATGGTGTATAATTTAAAACTTATAAATTATTTCTGGAATTTTTCATTTAATGTATTTGGACCATGGTTGATCACAGGTAACTGAAACCACAGAAGGTAAAACTATAGATAAAAGAGGACTAGTGTATTAATTAATTTGTTAGACCTTTACCCAGTGGCACATTTGTGACAGATATTTAGTTGACAGAAGATTCCAAAGTGAATAAGAAGTTTACATCTGTTGGGAAAGGCACACAGGATACATAATATCAAATATAGTGCGATATTTAGGAATAGTTGTACAGGAAGAAATTTTAAGTGAATCCATAGAAAAGAGAGTCTAAAAATTCCTAAGATAGATTTACTTCTATCCTTATGAAGATTTTTCCCTTGTGTGTTTGGTCTTTCCTTTTGTCTGCATTTATGGTAGTCTGCCTCCAAGTAAGCTACTAAATCTAAACAACTGCGCTTTATAAATTCAATACAAATATAAGTGGCTTTTATCATGTGTTCTATTATGGTAATTTTTTAAAGGTCCAGACTCTTGTTTTGAAGATTTGAGCACTGTAATCTAAATGTCTGTAGGTTAGATAAATCTACTTGAAAGGTAATCAAAAAACTATATATAAATGTTTACATTAAATATAACCAAGTGGTGATATCTCTAAAACCCATATAATTTTATAAGAAAATAGTCATATTGCCCCGTCTTCCCCTTACCTTCCAATAGAAAAAGGATAAAAGACATAAACATACAAGTCACAAAATGCCAATAAATATTTAAAAGTCATTTAAGACCAGCATTCCTGAGAGGACCCACAGACCCTTTGAAGGAAGCGGACTGCTCCTGCAGGACCTGGTAGACACCCCAAATGCCATGAGTGCCCCAACCATGGAAGTGGGAAAGGAAGATCCTTCACTCCCAAACACACACCCCCACTGGAGAAACTGAAGGTCTGTTTGCAGGAAAAGTTTCTGACCTTACCTACAGCTGAGTCAATTTAGAGAATCAAGCAAAATACAAGGACAGAGGAAGCAACAGAAGGGCCCTGGGAGCCCACTGGGTCCCCTAGCAGGCCATTACTACATGGCACCACAGGGATCCATCAGGAGGGTGGCCAGAGGAGCGAGGGAGGACACACCACAGAAAAAAAGGATATCTCCAGTTGAACTTTGCAACAATTTGAACGGGATGAGAAGCCTCCTGGCCAGAACTCGGGGGAGGGCACAAATCTGGTTTGTAGACTCCACAGGTGGGAGAAGAACCGAGCCCTTTTTGTTCCCAGCTTGGAGGCAGGTAGCCTGAAGCAAGTTATCAAGCTCAGCTTGCCCACCACCTGGAAACAGACTCAGGGTTGTTAAGGGGGGCACAGTGGGAGTGAGACCAGCCTTTCAGTTTACTTGGGAGCTGAGTGACACATGCGACTGCCGGCTTTCCCTCGCTTCCCTGACAACCTGCATGACTCAGCAGAGGCAGCCATGATCCTTCTAGGTATACAACTCCATTGACCTGGGAACCTCACCCCCATTCCCCACAGCAGCTGCAGCAAGATATGCCCAAGGAGAGTCTGAGATCAGACATGCCTAGCCCTGCTCCCACCTGATGGTCCTTCTCTCCTATGCTTGTAGCTGAAGACAAAGGGCATATAATCTTGGGAATTCTAGGGCCCTGCCCACTGCTGGTTCCTCTCCATACTACCAGAGCTGATGCTCTCTGGAAAGTGCCACCTCCCAGCAGGAGGCCAACCAGCACAAAAATAGAGCTTTAAACCACCAAGGCTAAGAAGCCTCATGGAGTCCATTACACCCCCCTGCCACCCCCACCAAAATGGTATTCACGGCTGAGAGACTCATAAATGGTTCACATCACAGGACTCTGTGCAGACAACCCCCAGTACCATCCCAGAGCTAAGTAGACTTGCTGGGTGGCTAGACCCAGAAGAGAGACAAGAATCACTGCAGTTCAGCTCACAGGAAGTCACATCCATAGGAAAATGTTGAGAGTACTACATAAAGGGAATGCCCTGTGGAACAAAAGAATCTGAACAACAGCCTTCAGCCCGAGACCTTCTCCCTGACAGTGCCAACCCAAATGATAAGAAACTGAAAAACGAACTCTGGCAATATAACAAAACAAGGCTCTTTAACACCTCCCAGAAATAACACTAGTTCATCAGCAATGGATCTAAACCAAGAAGAAATCCCTGATTTACCTGAAAAAGAATTAGTTATTAAGCTAATCAGAGAGGCACCAGAGAAAGGCTAGGCCCAATGCAAGGAAATCCAAAAAAGCAATACAACAAGGGAGAGATATTCAAGGAACTAGATAGCATAAAGAAAAAATAATCAAAACTTCAGGTAACATTGGACACACTTACAGAAATGCAAAATGCTCTGGAAAGTCTCAGCAATGGAATTGAAAGTAGAAGAAAGAAATTCAGAGCTAGAAGACAGGTCTTAGAATTAACCCAATCCAACAAAGACAAAGAAAAAAGAATAAGAAAATATGAACAAAGACTCCAAGAAGTCTGGGATTATGTTAAACAACCAAACCTAAAAATAATCGGTGCCCTGAGGAAGAAGAGAAATCTGAGAGTTTGAAAAACGTATCTGGGAAATAATCAAGGAAAACTTCCCCAGCCTTGCTAGAGACCTAGACATCCAAATACAAGAAGCACAAAGAAAACCCGGGAAATTAATCACAAAAAACTAATCACCTAGGCAACTGTCATCAGTTTATCCAAATTTCAGATGGAGGAAAGAATCTTAAGAGCTGTGAGACAGAAGCACCAGGTAATGGAAAACCTATCAAATTAACAGCAGATTTCTCAGCAGAAACCCTACAAGCTAGAAGGGATTGGGGCCCTATCTTCAGCCTCCTCAAAGAAAACAATTATCAGCCAATAATTTTGTATCCAGCAAAACTAAGCATCATATATGAAGGAAATACAGTCTTTTTCAGAAAAACAAATGCTGAGAAAATGCACCATTACCAAGCCACCACTATAAGAAATGCTAAAACAAGGTCTAATTCTTGAAACAAATCCTGGCAACACATCAAAACAGAACCCCTTTAAAGCATAAATCACACAGGACATATAAGACAAAAATACAAGTTAAAAAGCAAAAAAAAAAAAAAAAAAAAAAAAAAAACAGTGAACGCAATGGTACCTGACTTCTCAATACTAACATTAAATGTAAATGGCCTAAATGCTCCACTTAAAAGATACAGACCTACAGAATGTATAAGAACTCACCAACCATTTGCTACCTTCTGAGACTCACCTAACACGTAAGTACTCAAATAAACTTAAAGTAAAGGGGTAGAAAAAGGCATTCCACACAAATGGACATCAAAAGCGAGCAGGGGTAGCTATTCTTACATCAGAGAAAACAAACTTTAAAGCAAAAGCAGTTAAAAGAGACCAAGAGGGACATTACATAATGGTAAAAGGCCTTGTCCAACAGCAAAATGTCACAATCCTAAACACATATGCACCTAACACTGGAGCTCCCAAATTTATAAAACAATTACTAACAGACTTAAGAAACAAGATAGCACACAGTAACAGTGGGGGAATTCAATACTCCACTGACAGTACTAGACAGGTCATGAAGACAGAAAGTCAACAAAGAAACAATGGACTTAAACTATACCTTGGAACAAATGGACTTAGCAGATATATACAGAACATTCCATCCAACAACCACAGAATACACAATCTATTTAACAGCGTATAGAACTTTCTCCAAGATAGACCATATGATAGGCCATAAAACAAGCCTCAATAAATTTGAGAAAATTGAAATTATATCAATCACTCTCTCAGACCACGATGGAATAAAACTGTAAATCAATTTCAAAAGGAACCTTCAAAACCACGCAAATACATGGAAATTAAATAACCTGCTCCTGAATGAGCACTGGGTCAAAAATGAAACCAAGATGGAAATTAAAAAAATTATCCAAACTGAATGACAATAATGACACAACATATCAAAACCTCTGGGTTACAGCAAAGGCAGTGCTAAGGGAAAAACACATAGCCTAAACGCCTACATCAAAAAGACTGAACGAGCACAAACTGACATTCTAGGGTCACACCTCAAGGAACCAGATAAACAAGAACAAACCCAGCAGAAGAAAGGAAATAACCAAGATCAGAGCAGAACTAAATGAAATTGAAACAACAGAAAACAACACAAAAGATAAATGAAACAGAAAGCTGGTTCTTTGAAAAGATAAATGAAATTGATAAACCAACAGCAAGATTAACTGAGAAAAGAAGAGAGAAAATCCAAATAACCTCGCTAAGAAATGAAACAGGAAATATTACAACTGACATCACTGAAATACAAAAGATCATTCCAGGCTACTATGAACATCTTTATGCACATAAACTAGAAAACCTGGAAGAGATGGATAAATTCCTGGAAATATACAGCTCTCCTAGCTTAAATCAGGAAGAATTAGATACCCTGAACAGACCAATAACAAGCAGCGAGATTGAAATGGTAATTTAAAAATTACAAACAAAAAAAAGTCCAGGACCAGAGGGATTCACAGCAGAATTCTAACAGACATTCAAAGAAGAATTGGTACAAATCCTTTGGACATTATTCCACAAGACAAAGAAAGAAGGAACCCTCCCTAATTCATTCTATGAAGCCAGCATTGCCCTAACACCAAAACCAGGAAAGGACATAACCAAAAAGAAAACTACAGACCGATATCCCTGATGAACATAGATGCTAAAACTCTTAACAAAATACTAGCTAACTGAATCCAACAACATGTCAAAAAGATAATCAACCATGATCAAGTGGGTTTCATGCCAGGAATGGTTTAACATATGCAAGTCAATAAATGTTATACACCACATAAACAGAATTAAAAACAAAAATCATGTGATCATCTCAATAGACGCAGAAAAAAGCACTGTTATTCAATATAGTAGTGGATGTCCTAGCTAGAGCAATCAGCCAAGAGAAAGAAATAAAGGGCATCCAAATTGGAAAAGAAGAAGTCAAATTATCCTTATTTGCAGATGATATAATCTTATATTTGGAAACACCTCAAGACTCCTCCAAAAAACTATTAGAACTGACAAGGAAATTCAGTAAAGCTACAGGATACAAAATCAGCGTACAGATCAGGAGTGTTTCTATATGCCAACACCAAAGTATCTGAAAATAAATCTAAAAAGTAATCCCATTTACAACAGCCACAAATAAAGTTAAATACCTAAGGATTAACTTAACCAAAGAAGTGAAAGACCTCTATAATAAAAACTATGAAACACTGATGAAAAAATTTGAAGAAGACACCAAAAAATGAAGAGATTCCATGTTTATGAATCCAAAGAATATTGTCCAAAATGTCCATATTACCCAAAGCAACCAATAGATTCAATGCAATCCCTATCAAAATACCAATGACATTTTTCAAAGATAGAAAAAAAAAACCCTAAAATATGTATAGAACCACAAAAGATCTAGAATAGTTAAAACTATCCTAAGCAAAAATAATAAAAGTAGAGGAATCACATTACCAGACTTTATACTATAGAACTATAATGATCAAGACACCATGGTACTGGCATTAAAAAAGACACATAGACCAAAGAAACAGAATGGAGAACCGAGAAATAAATCCACACACCTACAGTGAACTCATTTTTGACAAAGGTATCAAGAACATACACTGGGGAAAAGACAGTTTCTTCAATAAGTGGTACTGGAAAATTGGATATCCATATGTAGAAGAATGCAACTAGATCCTCTATCTCTTACCATACACAAACATAAAATCAAAATAGATTAAAGACTTAAATCTAAGAATGCAAACTATGAAACTACTATAAGAAGGCATTGAGAAAACTCTTCCAAGACATTGGTCTGGGCAAAAATGTTGTGAGTTATACCCCACAAACACCGGCAACCAAAACAAAAATGAACAAACTGGATCTCATTGAGTTAAAAAGCTTCTGCACAGAAAAGGAAACAATCAACAAAGTGGAGTGACAACCCACAGAATGGGAGAAAATATTTGCAAACTACCTATCTGACAAGGTACTAATAACTAGATTATCTAAGTAGCTCAAACAACTTCATAGAAAAAAATGCAATAATCCTATTAAAAAATGGACAAAATATTTAAATAGACATTTTTCAAAAGAAAATATACAAATGGCAAACAGGCATATGAAAAGGTGCTCAACATCATTATTGATGATCCGAGAAATGCAAATCAAAACTACAATGAGATACCATCTCACTCTAGTTAAAATGGCTTGTATCTAAAAGAAAGGCAATAGCAAATGCTGGTAAGGATGTGGAGAAAGGGAAATCTTGTATGCTGTTGGTGGGAATGCAAATTACTACAGCCGCTATAGAGAACAGTATGGAGGTTCTTCAAAAACCTACAAATATAGCTACTATATAATCCATCAATCCCACTGCTGGGTACATACCCAAAAGAAAGGAAATTAGTATATCAAAGTGATATTTGCACTCCCATGTTTGTTGCAGTACTGTGCACAATAGCCAAGATTTGGAAGCACCCTAACTGTCCAAAAACAGGTGACTGGATCAAGAAAATATGGGTTAGAGGAAAAAATGGCAGATAGGAGGCAAGATTAACTTGAAGCTCCCACTCAGACAGAGCAGCATGTGGATACTCACATCATGAACTTTTGCTCCAAGAACTACCCAGGAACACACCAGGAAAGCCGAGATAATCCAAAGACCCTTTGAAGGAAGCAGCTTGCCACTGCAGGCTCTGTGATACAGCTGAAAAACTGTGAGCGCCCAAAGTGTGTAAGGGGAAAAATCTGCCCGAGAACACACATCCTAACTGGGGAACCTGAAGGTTTAGGTCACAGGAGAAAGATTTAACCTTAACTGGAGCTGAGATCAGTTTAGAGGGCCAAGGGAATTATAGGGGTAGAGGAAGCAGTGGGAAAAGCCCTGTGGGCAATCTCAGTCCCCAGGGAAGCCATCTGTGATCTATGGCTGTGTCTTGCAGGGGTCCTTGGGGAGGGCTGCAAGTGGAACTGAGAAAATACCACAGGCAGAAGGAAACTTCCAGCTAAACTTTGTAACAATTTCGACCAAACACAGTGTCCTGGATAGAATCTGGGTGAGGGGGCAAAAAGGGAGTGCAGATATAAACACAAAAGCCAAGGCAGGCAGTGAGGTGTGAAATCTGAGAACGCTGCTTGCTTTCTTTGGGGAAAGGCTTGTAACCTGTGGAAAATTCTGAGCCCTGCTCACCAGCTGCCTGGAAATAATCTTGGTGTTGTTGGGGGACATGTTGGAAGTGAGACTGGCCTATTTGGCTGAGTAGAAGCTGGGTGAGGCCTGTCACTGCCAGCTTTCCCCCACTTCCCTGGTGACCTGTACAGCACAGCAGAGGCAGCCATAACCTCCCAGGGAACATAACTCCATTGGTCTGAGAACCACACTCCCATCCCTGACAGTGACCACAGCAAGCCAACCCAAGGAGAGACTGAGCTCAGACACACCTAAACCTGTCCCCGCCTAATGGTCTTTCTCTACTCACCCTGGTAGCCAAAGACGAAGATCATAATCTCTTGGGAGCTACGGGACCATGACCACTGCCTGAGAAACCGGAATACTCATCCAGGTGACCTGAGGGCAAGCTTGTGTCCTCCCTATACTACCACAGTTGATGCTTTCTTGAAAGCCCCACCTCCTGGCTGGAGGCCAACCAACATAAAACCAGTATACTAAACAAAAGTACAACCAAGGGCCATCACAGAGTCCACTTCACTCTCCTGCTACTTCCACTGAAGCAGGTGGTGGTATCCACAACTGAGAGACCTGAAGCCAAGTCACATCAAAGGACTCCTTGAAGACATTCCCCAGTACCAGCCTGGAGCCCAGTAGCTCCGCTGGGTGGCTAGACCCAGAAGAGAAATAACAATCACTGCAAGTAAGCCCCATCCCTAAGGGAAGGAGGAGAGCACCACATCAAGGGAGCACCCCATGAGACATAAGAATCTTAACAGCATCCCTTGAGCCCCAGATCTTCCCACTGACATAGTCTACCCAAATGAGAAAGAAACACACAAACAAATCTGGCAATATGACAAAACAAAGTTCATTAACACCCCCAAAAGATCACACTAGCTCACCAAAAATGGATCCAAACCAAGAAGAAATCTCTGAATTTCCAGAAAATAAATTCAGAAGGTTGATTATTAAGCTACTCAAAGAGACACCAGAAAAAGGTAAATACAAACTTAAAGAAAATTTTTAAAATGATACAAGATATGGATGGAAAAATCTCCAGTGAAATAGACTGCATTAATAAAAAACAGTCACAACTTCTGAATATCAAGCACACACTTCGAGAAATGCAAAATGCCCTGAAAAGTCTCAACAGTAGAATCAAGCAGGTAGACAAAAGAACTTCAGAGCTCAAAGATGAGGTTTTTGAATTAACCCTATCTGACAAAAACAAACAAAAAAAGAAAAAAAATGAACAAAGCCTCCAAGAACTTTGGAATTATGTTAAATGAACAAACCTAAGAATAATTGGTGTTCCTGAGGAAGAAGACAAATCTAAAAGTCTGGAAAACATATTTGAGGGAGTAATTGTGAAAAAACATGCCTGGCCTTGCTAGAGATCTAGACATCCAAATACAAAAAGCTCAAAGAACACCCAGGAAATTCCATCACAAAAGATCATTGCTTAGGCCCAGAGTCGTCAGGTTATAAGATGAAAGAAAAAATCTTAATAGCTGTGAAGCAAAAACATCAGTTATGCTATAAAGGGAAGCCTATCAGATTAAGAGCAGATTTCTCAGCCAGGCATGGTGGCTCACGCCTGTAATCCCAGCACTTTGGGAGGCAGAGGCAGGTGGATCACGAGGTCAGGAGATCGAGACCATCCTGGCTAACATGGTGAAACCCCGTCTCTACTAAAAATACAAAAAATTAGCCAGGCGTGGTGGCAAGTGCCTATAGTCCCAGCTAGTTGGGAAGCTGAGGCAGGAGAATTGCTTGAACCCAGGAGGGGGAGGTTGCAGTGAGCTGAGATTGTGCCACTGCACTCCAGTCTGAGCAACAGAGCAAGACTCAATCTCAAAAAAAAAAAAAAATATTCCGGCAGATTTCTCAGCAGAAACCCTACAAACTAGAAGGTATCTAGGTCTTATCTTTAGTCTCCTTAAACAAAACAATTATTGGCCAATAATTTTGTATCCAGTAAACCTAAGCTTCATAAGTGAAGGAAAGATACATTCTTTTCCAAACAAAGGCTGAGAGAATTTGCCACTACCAAGCCAGTGCTAAAAGAACTACTAAAGGGAGCTCTAATATTGAAACAAATCATTGAAATCTTGAAACAAATCTACCAAAATAAAACCTGCTTAAATAATAAATCTCACAGGACCTATAGAACAATAACACAATGAAAAGAAAAACAAGGTATTCTGGCAAAAACTAGCATAATGATAGTATCTCACATCTCAAGACTAACATTGAAAGTAAATGGCCTAAATGCTCCACTTAAAAGATACAAAGTGGCAGAATGGATAAGTATCCACCAACCAAGTATCTGCTGCCTTTGAGAGACTCATCTAAAACATAAGGACTCACAGAAACTTAAGGTAAAGGGATTGAAAAAGATATTCCATGCAAATGGACACCAAAAGCAAGCAGGAGTAGCTTTTCTTATATTAGACAAAACAGACTTTAAAGCAACAACATTTAAAAAAGACAAAGGGGGACATTATATAATGATAAAAGGACTAGTCCAACAGGAAAATATTATAATCCTAAATATATATGCACCTAACACTGGAGCTCCCAAATTTATACAACAGTTACTACTAGACCTAAGAAACAAGATTAGTGGCAAAACAATAATAGTGGAGGATTTCAGTACTCCACTGACAGCACTAGATAGGTCAGCAGGACAGAATGCCAATAAAGAAACAATGGATATAAACTATGCCCTAGAACAAATGGACTTAACAGATATGTACAGAACATTCTGCCCAACAACTGCAGAATGTACATTCTATTTACCAGCACATGGAACATTCTCCGAGACAGACCATCTGACAAACTACAAAACAAGTCTCAATAGATTTAAGAAAATCAAAATTATATCAAGTACTCTCTCAGATCACAATGGAATAGAATGGGAAATCAACTCCAAAATGAACTCTCAAAACCACGCAAATACATGAAAATTAAGTAACCTGCTCCTGAATAATCATTGGTTCAACAATGAAATCAATATGAAAATTTAAAAATTCTTTGAACTGAATGATAATAGCGACACAACCTATCAAAACCTCTGGAATATAGCAAAAGCAGTGCTAAGAGGAAAGTTCATACCATTAAATGCTTACATCATAAAGTCTGAAAAAGCGCAAATAAACAATTTAAGATCACACCTCAAGGAACTAGAGAAACAAGAACAAAACAAACCCAAACCCAGCAGAAGAAAAGAATAACAAAGATCAGAGTGGAAGTAAATGAAATTGAAACACACATACATGCCAAAAAAAAATGAAACAAAGAGCTGGTTCTCTGAAAAGATAAACAAAATTGATGGGCCATTAGTGAGATTAACCAAGAATATAAGAAAGAAGATCCAAACAACATCAATTAAAAATGAAACAGGAGATATTACAACTGATACCATAGAAATACAAAAGATTATACAAGGCTACTATGAACACCTGCACATGCACAAACTAGAAAACCTAGAGGAGATGGATAAATTCCTAAAAATATACAATCCTCCTAAATTACATCAGGAAGAAATAGAAATTCTGAGCAGACCAATAATAAGCATTGAGATGGAAATGGTAATTTTAAAATTTTCCAACAACAAAAAGTGCAGGACCAGATGGATTCATAGCCGAATTCTACCAGACTTTCAAAGACAAATTGATACCAATCTTATTACCACTATTCCAAAATACAGAGAAAGAGGGAATCCTCCCTAAATCATTCTTTGAAGCCAGTTACCACCCTAATATCAAAACAAGGAAAGGAAATAACAAAAAAAGAAAACTACAGACCAATACCCCTGATGAATACAGATGCAAAAATTCTCAACAAAACACAAGCTAACCAAATCCAACAGCATATCAAAAAGATCATATGCCATGATTGAGTGGGTTTCATACCAGGGATGCAAGGATGGTTTAACATATGTAAGTCAATAAATGTGATATACCACATAAACAAAATTATAAAAAAAAATTACATGAAAATCTCGATAGACACAGAAAAAGCATTTGACAAAATCCAGCATCCCTTTATTATTAAAACCCTCAGCAAAATTGGCATAAAAGAGACATACCTCAATGTAATAAAAGCCATCAAGGACAAACCCACAACCAACATTATACTGGACAGGGAAAACCTGCAAGCATTCCCCCTGAGAAATGGAACAAGGTAAGGATGCCCACTTTCACCACTTCTATTCAACATAGTACTGGAAGTCCTAACCAGGGCAATCAGACAAGAGAAAGAAATAAAGGGCATCCAAATCAGTAAAGAGGAAGTCAAACTTTTGACGTTTGCTGGTGGTATAATGATATAAACAGAAAACCATGAAGACTCATCCAAAAAGCTCCTAGAACTGATAAATGAATTCAGTAAAATTTCAGGGTACAAAATCAATGTACACAAATCGATAGCACTGCTGTACATCAACAGCATGAAGCTGAGAGTAAAATCAAGAACTCAATCCCCTTTACAAGAGCTGCCAAAAAAAAAATACCAAGAAATAAACCTAACCAGGAACATAAAAGCCTCTACAAGGAAAACTACAAAACACTGCTGAAAAAAAATCATAGATGACACAAACATATGGAAACACATCCCATGCTCACGGATAGAATCCATGTTGTCAAAATGTCCATACTTCCAAAAGCAATCTAGAAATTCAATGCAATTCCTATCAAAATATCATCATTCTTCACAGAACCAGAAAAAGCAATTCTAAAATTCATATGAATCAAAAAAGAGCCTGCATAGCCAAAGCAAGGCAAAGCAAAAAAAAAAAAAAAAAAGGGCATCACATCACCTTACTTCAAACTATACAATAAGGCTATAGTCACAAAAACAGCATGGTAGTGGTATAAAAATAGGCACATAAACCAATGGAACAGAATTGAGTCCAAATAAAGTAAAATACGTACAGCCAACTCATCTTTGACAAAGCATACAAAAACATAAATTTGGGGAAAAAGCACCTTATTCAATAAATGGTGCTGGGAAAACTGGCAAGCCACATGTAGAAAATGAAACTGGATTCTCATTTCTTGCCTTATACAAAAATCAACTCAAGATGGATAAAAGACTTAAATCTAAGACCTGAAACCATAAAACTCCCAGAAGATAACAATTAGAAAAGCTTTTCTGGACATTGGCTTAGGCAAAGAATTAATTTCTAAACCCCAAAAAGCAAATGCAATAAAAACAAAAATAAATAAATGAGACCTAATTAAACTAAAAAGCTTCTGCACAGCAAAAGAAACAATCAGCAGAGTAAACAGAAAACCCACAAAGTGGCAGAAAATCTTCCAACAAGGAACTAATATCCAGAATCTATAAGGAACTCAAACAAATCAGCAAGAAAAAAACAAACAATCCCATCACAAAGTGAGCTAAGGACATGAATTGACAATTCTCAAAAGAAGATATATGCATGGCCAACAGACATACAAAAAAAAATGCTCAACATCACTATTGAAAAGAAGTCATTATACAAAAAATATACTTGCACACATGTTTATAAAAGCACAATTTGCAATTGCAAAAATATGGAACCAGCCCAAATGCACGTCAATCAACAAGTGGATAAAGAAAATGTGGCATAGATATATACACCATGGAATACTACTCAGCCATGCCATAAAAAAACAAAATAATGTCATTCACAGCAACGTGGATGGAATTCCTGACCATTATTCTAAGTGAAATAACTCAGGAATGGAAAACCAAACATCGTATGTTCTTACTTATAAGTGGAAGCTAAGCTATTAGGATGCGAAGGCATAAAAATGATGAAATGTACTTTGGGGACTTGGGAAAATTGGTGGGAGGGAGGTGAGGAACAAAAGACTACACATTTGGTAGAGTATACACTGCTCAGGGGATAGATGCCACAAAATCTCAGAAATCACCACCAAAGTACCTATCCATGTAACCAAACACCACCTGTTCCCCAAAAACATTTTGAAATTTAAAAAAATTAAATACATATGCTGTAAAGTTATAAAAATTTACTGGATTTGAACTGTTAGAAGTATAAATATACATTTCTTCAAAAAGTTGTAAGATGTCAATTTATACCAAGAAGATAGTTTAAGAGTCTCCTATGTTTTAATGGTGAACTATGCACATTCACAATTAAGGTGGTATTAAATCTTATATATTACTAAAATCATAAAATATTTGTAATAAACACTAAATATGAAAAAATGGCATATATATATATATATATATATATATATATATATATATATATATATAAAACGGAGTTCTATTCAGCCATAAAAAACAATGAGATCCTGTCACTCGCAACATGTATGGAACCGGAGATCATTAGGTTAAGTAAAATTAGTCGGGCACAGAAAGACAAACTTCACATATTCTCACTTACTTGTAGGATCTAAAAATCTGAACAATTACATTCATGGAGATGGACAGAATGATTACCAAAAGCTGAGAATGGCAGTGGTAAGGGAAATGGCTAAGGGGTATAAAAAAATAGAATGAATATGACCTAGTATTTGCTAGCACAACATGGTGACTCTAGTCTATCATAATTTAATTGTATATTTTAAAATAACTAAAAAAGTATAAACGGATTGTTTGTAACACAAAGGATAAATGCTTGAGGGGATGGATACTTCATTTTACGTGATGTGATTATTACACATTGCATGCTTGTTTCAAAATATCTCATGTACCCCGTAAATACATACAACTGCTATGTACCCAGAAAAGTTAAAAAATAAAAAATAGGATTTCCTTTCCAATGTATATATTGCATATTTTATGCATATTATTAGTCTTTTCTGAACAAAATGTTGAAGGGCAGATACATTAAAACAATATTAGTCTTATCACAGCTGGGTAAAATAATATGCATAGAAGAAGGAAAATATAAAATGTTACCAATGATTACCCCTGAATGAAGGTATTGTGGGTGATTATTTTATTGTCTTCATATGCAGTTTAATTTTTTCCTAGTTTTACATCAATAACCTGTATTATTTTCATCATATCCCATTAAAAAAAAAAGAGAGATAAACTCTGTTTTCTCAATGCAATGATATGCTGTTGCTTCAGGCACCCTAGTCAGACACGTCTCCCTGTGCATTTATATACAATGTCAGGGCCACCCTAAAGGCACCATTGCAGAATCTACCCCAGCAAGAATGGCTGGGGATGTCTCCAGATTTCTGATCTAGCCAAGCTATTCCCTCTTTCTGGAATGCCTCATGAGCCTCCTCATCTTTCTGGCAATCTCATAGTGCATGCATCAACACTTGGCTAAATTATCTGCTTCCTGAGCCTTTGCACACCCTTCCAGGAAGAATTGGGTGCTTTCTCCTCTGCAGTCCCATGATGTGGCTCAGCCTTGCTTAAATATGAACCACATTTTCCCCAGTCATTAAGCTTTCTCAGAATAGGAGCAGAGTTTTCTTTGCCATTAGACTATATCCCACTATAGGAGATTGAGGAATATTTTCCAAGTGTTTGGGAATTTAAAGAGTGTTACAAGGTTTAACAGACAAATCTACCATTCCAGTAATGTTTTTGTGAAGGTATTTATTAATTTCTTAAGCCACTACTAATCTGCTATTATGAAATGGTTCAAAGATCAATAGAGCTTGATCTTCTTCCTAAAGGGGCCAGTAGTTTAAGAGAACCCATATTTGTAAAGAATTAATTATATCAGGAAAGTACAAGATTCTTCTAATTTGCAAAATGCTTGCTTTTGGGATTTCTGAATTATTTTGCTGAAAAAGGTCCTAGGAATTGTATCTGAATAGAACACCTGAAATAATCTAAAACCACCTTCCTTTTCTGAACAGAAGTTTAAAGGCACAGACATGAAAATAAAGGGTAGGGTGTTGTTTTTTCTTTAATTCCTTCTGGTTAACCAAGAAAGTCTTTCAGGCAGAAAAGGGATTCAAAGGCAGTGAATATTTGGAATGTTTGGAGGTTCTTACTTGTTTTAAAAACCCATAATTTGACCTTTCCACTGAGAAGTTCTGCTTTTGCTGCTACATCTTCAGCAAGGGCTTTTCCCTAAGAAAGGCAAAATATATTAAAGCAAGTTCATATGTTAATGGAGCCAAGGAGTAAGAGGTCTTATAACAGTCATAAAAGTACTTTACTAAAATCTGGCTGATCCTCCCACATCCTGTGAGGAAAGTCTACAGACAGTGTTAGACCCCATTCTCTTTGCAGATACAGAAGCAATAGGGTTAAGTGGTTTGCCCAGGGTCACACCTGAGTGACAAATTGTGGAGGGCCAGGATGAAACAGGCCTCTGACTCTAAGCCCAGCCCTTTTTCAACCACAAGATGCTGCCACTCCTTGAGGGTGCTGCTGGAGTTAGGCAATGACAAGTACAAATGGCGAAATAAACATGAAGAACACAAACATTTCACGGGTAACAGGGTTGCCCTCAGTGACACAGCATTATCTGAGCCAAGATTTTTTAAACATTCAGCAGTCTACAAGAAAACCTAAGCAAGGTGAAAGGTGAAGAAATGGTGATAGCAACCACTAGGCAGTCAGGTGGTCAATAAGACATTAACAATGCTTACTTTAGTAGAAGTCAGCCACATTGTCAGCTTAAATAATGATCAGTGAGTGTTTCTACTCTCCATTCTTCCTCCCTGATTCTCTATTTGGTCTCCGAATGCTCAGCAGGCAGCAGTCACCCTGTTCAATGAAGACAGTAATAGAGATTGTAAATGAACATGAGTGGACTCCAATGCATTGTGCACACTTATTCAGAGTTTACACACCCTCAGGCTGTGGGTGCAGAGATAGCTCATTCTTGCAGAAGAACCAGAGCACTTCCTATACCAGCAGGGCCCTTCCTCATGGATCCATCTTTGGGAGAGTCTTCTCTGGCTTTGCACTCTGACCCCTGTGAGTCTAGGTCTTCACAGAAGGACTACATGATCCTCTGTCATAGATAGGAACAGAAGGGGATAAGAGTGAGGGCAAGATGTCTGCTTTTGACTTTCACCTACGTCTTCATGGGATTGAAATGGAGAGGGTTAGTGAACATTCCTCTAAGAACTTTTGGCCATTATTGGATAACATGATGTTTTAGCGAATTGCTTCAGGCATTTTTCACTATCACAGGGAACATATTCTATCTACCTATCTATCTACCTCTCATACACACACACAAGTGCACACACAAAACAGATATATACCCACAAGCTTCAAACATTGATATTTAAAACTGCTTTGGCCACAAATAATAATAAAGGTCCGTACAACACTCCACTCTGGAAGAACTCTCTGGAAGAGACATTGTGGCAGAAATGTAAGGTCACTTAGATATTATACTGAAATGTCAGCTCTTATAATCGTCTAACAACTCTCCTGAAAGCTCTGGAATCCATAGATTGATTCACTCTTTAGTCTCACTCTTCCTGAGAGCCTGCCATGTTTCAGGTACCATGACAGGTGCTGAGCAGACAGAGATGAAGGACCATCTCTGATTTCAATGATATCTCAATCTGCAAGCAGGGGATATGAGGCTCTCATAGAAATTAGCCAATGATCTTAACCCAATGTGCTAACAGCTTCAAAAATAATAGTATACATCTACTGAGTTCCTATTATGTCCAAACTGTATTAGGTTTTCTGTGTATACCATTAGCATCTAATAGAATCTTCACCCAATCTTTTGAGGAAATTACTAACCTGTCTTATAGACGAGGACACTGAGACATGATGACATTAAAGAATTTGTCCAGAGTCACACAGCTTGCCACTAGTGGATCTTAGATTTGAGCCCAAGTAGTGTGGTTCTACAGCCTGAGTTTCATGCCAGTTAGCTACATCATGGTAGAACAAGTGACAGCTGAAAAGGATAAATAGAGTTGCACAAGCTTATCCAGATTAGAAAGTCAAGGAAGCCCTTCTAGAGAAGTTGTGAAGGATAAGAAAAAATTGGCCAGACAGGAGGAGAGAGAGAAGCATGGCCAAAGACCCAGAGGTATGAACCGACAGAGCTTTCCAAAACTTATTGTCTGCACAATATTGTCTGATTTTAAAGTGTTTTCAAATTTAAGTGTGTCTACTCACAAAAACATTCTCTTGTCCCTGGAAAGTAAGCGGATAGAAACAAACACAAAAATTAGGCTCAAGTAACTGAAAATTTTTTTATACTTTTGGTCAAGAGGCAGAATCAAAGTAAGAGATTTTATCAAGAGAGATTTCAGAAACAAACCTAAGAAGTATCTTTGTATGTGTAATACTGGAATTACTACTCGGTATAAATTTATTTCTTCATTAAAAATAGTATCCATAGGTCAACTTCACTTCAAAGAGCATCATCCTTCAAAACAAAGCAAATATTTATAATTACTTAATAGACACATAAGTGTGTAAATATAAAATGTGAACACTGGGCAGAAAGTTTAAAACCCTAAAATAAGCCAGAATCATTGTATTCCAAGTGCCACAGACCTAAGTCAAGAACAGACTGCCTGAAACCCCACGGCTGAGCAAAAGCAAAGCACAGATAAAATGCCATGAAAGGACAGGCTCAGCCTATAACTGAGAAAGTTCCTTGACTGCCTTCCTATTAATATTCACTTGAAACCATGTCTAACTGGGCTCATTTTCATTCTAATTCCTTTTATGAGTTACACTTGGCAAATATATTTTATGTAGTACAAAAATGACCTCAATCGTATTATCCAGAAGTATGTAACCCAGTGTGGCCTAAGGGTCAAAAACATGAAAGGAAATTTTAAGGTCCCCAAACATTTTGCTAAAAAAAACACTAAAGAGTGAATTGACAATCAGATACAGCTCTTCAGACTGTCCCAAGGTGGTCACTTGTGCTTTTAAACAATAGTATTTGTAGAAAATATTTGTAGAGCTCTCTATTCAGTAAAAGGGTTTTTAAAAAGTGGATACTTTCTGTTTTGGCAATACAGAAGAGAATTTAAAAATAAAATTTCCTGCTACAAAACAACAAAAATGTTAGTTAAAACATTAAAAGCACATTTTAAATGCATTTTGTTCTAGTAATACCAAGTTAAGTTACGGATATTAACACTTCTACTGAAAACAATGCTTATATATATTATTTACGTATATACGTCATCTTAAAAGTGTTGAATTGGTGGCAACCACTAGATAGTGTAATAAGAGGCTCAAGTTCTCAGCTCCCTACAAAAACACCATTTTAACAACCATCCATTAAAAAAAATACCTTTACACAAGATCCATAATCTAAGAAAGAGGTTATAGCACTCATGTAGAGCATGTAAATGAGAAAAGACATATTAAAGGGGATAAAAAAAATGTTTCACTTTACCCATGTCACTCCTCCCTTAAGAATGTACAGTGCAGTGCTGATAGTAATCAGTATTAGCCTGTGAGTTCTCTCATGAGGAAAAGGAAGAAAGAAGTGAGTTTCTGATGCCTCCGTGGAACCTGGCATTAGGTTCTTCATTACAGACACTGGCAACAAGCCTAACCCACAGGCCTCTGGCATCAGGCATGCCTCTGCCAACTCAAGTACCAGGTCTACCTCTATGGACCCTGGCACCAAGCCAATCCACCTAGGTACCCTGACAATGGTCCACCCACCTACAGACTCTAGCAGAAATGCCTACTCAGAGACCATTACAGCCAGTCCACTCAGAAATGCTGGCTGGACTGACCAACAAAGTGCTTTGCTTGATGAAGCCAGTGTGTAAAACTAAAAGAAGTGACTACTTCTTCAAATGCACAGATACCAAAGCAAGGCTACAAGATTTACAAAGAATCAGGGAAATAAGATACTACCAAAGGATCAAAATGAAGCTCCAGTTACCAACTTTAAACAAATAGAGATCAAAATGAAGCTCCAGTTACCAACTTTAAACAAATAGAGATCCATGAATTGCCTGACAAATTATTCAAAGTAATTATCTCAAGAGCGCACCATGAGCTAAAAGAGAACAATTATAAACAACTAAACAAACACAGGTAACAATACATTGGGGAAAAAAGAGATGCTCAGCAGAGACACAAGCCATAAAAAAAAAAACCCAACAGAAATTCTAGAGCTGAAGAACACAATGGCTCAGCTGAAAAACTTAATAGAGAGCTTCTACATTAGACACGATCAGCCGAAGAAGGAGTCAGCTAGCTCAAAGACAAGTAATTACCCATTTCAAGGAACCAAAAAAATTCTTTTTAAGAATAAAGAAAACCTTATAGTACTTATTAGCCACCACTTAGCAAAATAATATATGCATTAAGGGAAGCTCTGGGAAGAGAAGGGAGAGAAAGGGGTAGAAAGCTTATTTAAAGAAATAATGCATGTATAATGATATATTGGTAACACTGCAGACTTGGGGAAGCCAGCCAACCTTGGAGATCTGAGTGTGAGAGAAAAGAATATGAATAAGAATAAGAAGAGAAAGAGTAAGGAGAAGAGGAGAAGGAGTAAGAGGAGGAGGAGGAGGACAAAGAGATAGAATAAAGAAGGAATGGGTAAAACTTCCAAAATCTCAGGAGGGAACTGGATATCTAAATTCATGGAACCAAAAGGATCTCAAATAAGTGACACCTAAAGAGGGCTGCACTGAGAAATGTTAAAATTAAATTTTCAAAAGGCAAAGGCAAAGACACAATTTTGAAAGCAGCAAGAGAAAAGCTGATCACATGCAAGAAAATCTCCGTAAGTCTATCAGCAGATTTCTTAGCAGAAATCTTGCAGGCCTGCAAGATTCAAAGTACAGAAAGGAAAGAAGAAAAAAACAAAAAACCTGCCAACCGAGAATACTATACCTGACAAAACAGTCCTTTTAAAATGAAGGAAAGATAAAGACTTTCCTAGATAAACAAAACTGACAGTTTGTCACCACTAGACCATCCTGACAAGAAATTCCAAAGGGAGTAAATAGAGTTCAAAAACAAAAGAATGCTAAAAGGTAACATGAACAAATATAACAGTATAAATCTCACTGATAAAGGCAAATATATAAGCAAATACTGTAATACTGTAATGATGATGAATAAGTCACTTTTACCCCAGTATAAAAGTTAAAAGACAATGGTGGCTGAGTGCAGTGGCTCATGCCTGTAATCCCAGTACTTTGGGAGGCTGAGGAAGCTGGATCACTGGTGTCAGGAGTTCGAGACAAGCCTGATCAATATGGTGAAACCTTGTCTCTACTGAAAATACAAAAATTAGCCATGCGTGCTGGCACGCATCTGTACTCCCAAGTACTTGGGAGGCTGTGACAGGAGAACTGCTTGAACCCTGGAAGCAGTGGTTGCAGTGAGCCAAGATCACGCCACTGCATTCCAGCCTGGGTGACAGAACAAGACTCCATCTCAAAAAAAAATAAATAAATAATAAAGACATGGTATTATAACTATAACCACAAAATTGATTAATTGATACACAATATAAAAGGATAAAATTCTGACATCAATAACAAAGTATTGACGGGGGAATAAAGTGTACAGCTTTTCTATACAATTGAAGTTGCTATCAATTCAAAATAGACTATTAACAAGAATAGGAAGTTGTATGCAAGCTTCATGGTAACCACAAATAAACTATAGCCAATTCAAAAAACATTTTAAAAAATCAAAATGTATCACTACAAAAAAGTTAAATTGCAAAGAAGCTAGCAAGAGAGAAAGAGTGGAATTTAAGAACTACAAATCAGACAGAAAACAATTAACAAAATGGCAATAGTAAGTCCTTACCTGTCAATAACTATTTTAAATGTAAATGAATTAAACTCACCAATCAAAAGACAGGACACATAAATTTTTAAAAGAGGATCCAAATATATGCTATCTATAAGAGGCCCACTTTAGATTTAGGGCCACACAATTAGCTGAAAGTGAAGGAACAAAAAAAAATATTTCTTGCAGATGGTGACCAAAAGAGATCAGAGATGCTGATACTTATATTAGAAAAAAAATAGACTTTAAGTTAAAAACTGTCACAAGAAACAAATAATGTCATCACCTAATAATAAAAAGGTCAATTCCACGGGAAGTTATTGCAAGTATAAATATGTATGCATCCAACATCGAAGCATCTAAATAAAATAAAGCAAACATTGACAGATTTAAAGAGAGGAAAAAAACAACAATAAAATAATAGATCTCAATATTACACTTGCAATAATACATGTAACACCCAGACACAAAATTAACAAGAAACATCAGACTTAAAAATACTGTACTTAAAATGGAACTAACAGACATATACAGGGCATTCCACTCAACTGCAGGAGAATACACATTCTTCCCAAGCACACACAGATATTCTCCTGAATAAATCACATGCTAGATAACAACAAAAAAAGAAGTCTTAGCAAATTTAAGAAGAAAGTATCTTTTCTGACTAGAAGGGAATGAAACTAAAAATCAATAACAAAATGAATAGAAAAATTCACAAATACTTGGCAATTAAACAAACATTCTTGAACAATCATTGGGTTTAAAAAAGAAACAAAAACATTAGAAAATTTCTGAAATAATTAAAAACAAAAGCACAACATACCAGAACTTATGGGATACCATAAAAGCAGTACTGAAAGGGAAGTTTATAGTGATAAAGTTTATAGCTATTAAAAAAGAAAAATATCCAACAACCTAACATTATACCTCAAGAAACTAGAAGAAGCAAAACAAACTATGCCCAAAGTTAGCAAAAGAAAGAAATTAATAAAGATTAGAGCAGAAATCAATGAAATGGAGAACAGAAAGACAACAGAAAAAAAAATAAAAGAAACTGAGTCAGTCTTTGAAAAGATTTTAAAAATGCAAAATCCTTAGCTAGGCTAAGAAAAAAGGAAAGAAGCCTCAGATATACCAGAAATGAAAAAGGAGGTATTACAACTGATACAACAGAAATTTTAAAAATCATAAAGGAATATTATGAACAATTATTAATCATTAATCACAACGGACTATTACATTGACACACTGGGTAACCTGGAAGATATGGATAGACTCCTAGAAACATACAACCTTCCAAGACTGGAACAAAAAGAAATAAAAAGCTTGGCCAGGCACAGTGGCTCACGCCTGTAATCTCAGCACTTTGGGAGGACGAGGTGGGCGGATCCCTAGGTCAGGAGATGGAGACCATCCTGTCTAACACTGTGAAACCCCGTCTCTACTAAAAATACCAAAAGTTAGCCGGGCATTGTGGCGGGCGCCTGTAGTCCCAGCTACTCGGGAGGCTGAGGCAGGAGAATGGCGTGAACCCAGGAGGTGGAGCTTGCAGTGAGCTGAGATCGCACCACTGCACTCCAGCCTGCATGACAGAGCGAGACTCCGTCTCAAAAATAAAATAAAGTTAAATTAAAATAAAATAAAATAAATACTTGTAAGACCAATAACAAATAAGAAAATTGAGTCAGTAATATAAACCTTCCAACAAAGAAAAACCCATGGCTTCACTGGTGACTCCTTCCAAATATTTAAAGAAAATCTGATATCAATTCTTCTCAAATTCTTCCAAAAAATTGAGATAAAAAGAATACTTCCAAACTCATTTTATGAGGCCATCATCACCCTGATACCAAAGCCAAAGGCACAATAAGAGAAAAAAAAAAAAACCTGAAGGATCATATTCCTAATGAACATGGATGCAAAAATCCTCAAAAAAAAATTAGCAAACCAAATGTAAAAGCACATTAAAGGAATCATACACCATGACCAAGCGGGATTTCTCTTTGGGCTGCAAGGATGGTTCAGTATACACAAATCAATCAATGTTATATTCCACATTAACATAATAAAGAATTACAAAATCACATGATCATGTCAACAGATGCAGAAAAAAATATCTGATGATAGTCAACACTGTTTTATATTTAAAATTCTCAATAAAGCATAGAATAAATTTACTTCAAAAGAATAAAGGCCCTATATGAAAATCCCATAACTAATAGCATACTAAACCATGAAAAACCAAAAACTTTCTCTCTAAGATTAGAAATAAGGCTGGTATTCCCACGAAATCAACATGCAAAAATCAGTAGTGTTTCTTTCTATACATTAACAATGAATTATCCAAAAAAGAAATTAAGGAAATCTCATTTAGAATAGCACTAAAAAGAATAAAATACTTACGCATAAATTTAACAAAGGAGGTGAAAGACTTGTACACTGAAAACTATAAAATACTGATGGAAGAAATTAAAGCAGACACAAATAGATGAAAATACATCTCATGTTCATGCTTTGGAAAAATTAGTATTATTAATATGTCCACACCACCCAAAGCAATCGATGCACTTAGTGGAATCCCTTTCAAAATCCCAATGGCACATTTAACAGAAATAGGCAAAAATTCTAAAATTTATATGGAACCATAGGAGATGCCAAAAAGCCAAAGTGATTTTGAGTAAGAACAAAGCTGGAATCAACATTGTACCTGATTTTAAAATACATTACAAAGCTACAGCAATCAAAATAGTATGGTACTGGCATAAAAACAGATATATAGAGCAATGGAACATAATAGAAAGCCCAGAAATAAATGCATATATACACAGTTAAATGATGTTCAGTAAGGGTGCCAAAAATAAAAAATGGAGAGAAGAGCGTCTCTTCAATAAATGGTGTTTGGAAAACTAGATATCTACAAGCAAAAAAATGTAATTGCATCCTTAATTTACACCATACACAAAAACCAGCTCAAAATAGATTAATGACTTAAACATAACACCTGAAACCATAGGATAAAACATAAGAAAAAAGCTTCTAGATATTAGGTTTTGTAATAAATTTTTGGACATGACACCAAAAGCATAGGCAACAAAAACAAAAACAGACAGGTGAGATTACATCAAACTAAAAATCATCTACATAACAAAAGAAATAACAGAACAAAAAAGAAACTCATGGAATGGGAGAAAATATTTGCATAGCATTATCTGATAAAGAGTTAATATCCCAAATATATAAGAAACTCCCACAACTCAAGAGCAAAAATAATCAAATAGCACAGTTTAAAAATAGGCAAAGGAACTAATTTCTTCAAAGGCATACAAATAGCCAACAAATACGTGAAAAAGTGCTCAGAATCACTAACTATTAGGGAAATGCAAATCAAAACCGTAATGAGGTATCCCCTCTAATATAATTCAGATATTTGTCCCCGCCCACTTCTCGTGTTGAAATATAATCCCCAATGGGCTGGATGTGGTGGCTCATACATGTAATCCCAGCACTTTGGGAGGCTGAGGTGGGCGGATCACTTGAGGTCAGGAGTTCAAGACCAGCCTGGCCAACCTTGGGAAACCCCCGTCTCTACCAAAAATACAAAAATTAGCTGGGCGTGATGGCACAAGCCTGTAGTCCCAGCTACCCAGGAGGCTGAGACAGAGAATTGCTTGAACCCATGAGGCAAAGGTTGTAGTGAGCTGGAATCATGCCACTGCACTCCAGCCTGAGTGACAGAGCGAGACTCCATCTCAAAAAAATAAATAAATAAAAGTGTGTGTGTGTGTGTGTGTGTGTATATATATACACACACACACGTAATATATTTATATAGTTTATATATAATATATATATTTATATTATAAATATATATAAACTCCCTGAGACTTCACCAGAAGCCAAGCATATGCCAGCACCATGCATCCTATAAAGCCTGCAGAGCCATGAGCCAATTAAACCTCTTTTCTTTATAAATTACCCAGTCTTAGGTATTTCTTTATAGCAATACAAGAATGGCCTGACAATCTCTCATCTGTTAGGATGGCTATTCTCAAAAAGTCACAAGGTAAGTGTTGGAGAGAATATGGAGAAATTGGAACCCTTGTACATTGTTGGTTGGTACAGCCATTATGGAAAACAGTATGGAGGTTCCTCAAAAAATTAAAAATAAAACTACTAAATGACAAAGCAAACTCACTTCTAGGTATATTTTCAAAAAAAATGAAATCAGGGTCTCAAAAAGATATCTGTGTCCCCATGTTGACTAAAGCATTATTCACAGCAGCCAAGTTATGGAAGCAACCTAAATGTTGATTGATGGATGAATGAATCAATAAAGAAAGTATTATACATACATAAAGTAGAATATTATTTAGAGTTAAAAAGAAGGAAATCCTACCTTTAGCAACAACATGGATGAACCTGAAAGTTGTTATGCTAAGTAAAATAAGTCAGACACAGAAGGTCAAGTATTACATGATACCACTTATATGATGAATCTAAAATAGTTAAACTCCTAGAACAAAATAAGACAACGGTGATTGCCAGGGTCTGGGAGAAATGGGAAATGGGGAGATATTAGTCAAAGGGTACAAGTTTCAGTCATACAAGGTGAATAAGTCCCAGAGATCTAGTGTACAACATAGTGCCTTAGTTAACAATACTGTATTATATACTTAAAAATGTCCTAAAAATGTAGACTTTATGTTGTGTTCTTATCACAAAATAATAACAATAATAAGAAGTAAGAGAGCAAAAGGAAACTTTTGGAGGTGATGAGTAGGTTTATGGCATAGATTCTGGTGATGGTTTTACAGCTTTATAGTTCCATCCAAATTCATCATGTTGCATACATTAAACATGTACAGCTTTTTTATATTTCCCCAAAAGGAAAGTGTTGAACTGCTAGAAGATAGTGAAGACTGCCAGGCCCTATTTCCTGATGGGAAGAAAGGTGGAACCCTGAGAGGAAAGATGAATATCCAAGGAGTACCTAAACTGCTTTCATCCCGAGGACATGTGCCAATCCCAAAAAACCAGGCTTCAGGTGGAACCTAGCTCAAGAAAGGTGACAGAGCCAAGGGCAGGTCATCCAGAGGTAAGCAATCTTAAAAGAGACCTTCCCAATTTAAGTTGAGACCCCCAGATGACTAAAGAAGAAGTGAGGAAGAAGAGGGGAAGAGAAGGAGAATGGAAGAAAGGGAAGAAGGAAATAGAGGAAAAGAATGAATAAAAGGACGAAAGAAGGATAAGAGAATGCTTGAGAATTTGTTCGTGCATCTTGGTAAAAATCCTAAATGAAATATTAAGAAACTAAATCCCAAAAGATACATATGTGATAACATATCATGATTAAGTTGGATTTACCAAAGGAATCTTAGAAATTAATCAACTCAAGTCACCATATTAGCAAATAAAAGGAATAAATTAGATGCTCATCTCAGTAAATGCAAAGAGAAAAAAAAAACTTCCAAAAAAAGTATTCATTTCTTATAGAAATTCTTAGCAAATATGAAAAAAGTCTCCAATCTAATAATGTTTATGTGCAACAAATGTGCAACAGGCATCATAAAAGGTAAAACCTTGAGAACTTTCCTTTGAGATTAGAAACTAGACAAGAATGTTCTATTCAATATTGCACAGGGAGTTCTCAGCAACATGGTAATAAAAAAGAAATAAAAGAAATAAGGATTAGAAAGGAAGAAAGATAACATTTCAAAAGATATGATCGTGTATGTAGAAAACCTAAATAAATCCATAAATAAGCTATTAAAGTAAGACAGCTTAGCAAGTTTGCTGAATGCGAAGTCAATATACAAAATCAATTCTATTTCTATGTTCCAGCAACAAAAATTTAGAAAATAAAAATTTTAATATACTAATTATGAGGATAAAAAATATCTGTTATATAGAAATACATTTTTAAAGAATGTGAAATATCTCTTTAAGGAAAATTCTGAAACCTAATATTGAGTTATATCTTAAAAGAAAAATAAAATAAGAAATAAATCTTATTTATTAATCTGAAAAACTTAAAATTGCAAATATGTCGTTTCTCTCCAAATCAATTAATAAGTTCCCTGTAATGACAGTAAAATCCCACTCTTTCAATTAAACTAATTGTTAACAACACTGCTGCACACACACACACAACACATACACACACACACACACACACACACACACACACACACACACACAGTCAGAGTTTCTGGTCACCTTCAGAGGCCAAAGCAAACACAGAGAAAATATATAATTTAAATAAAACAGAGATTGTGTTGTGAAAAGAAATGTTTTTAAAAAATAATGCTATCATGAACTGCTCACAACAATGAGAAAATGTGGCATCCATGAAATAAGAATAGGATACAATAAAAAAGAAAAACATCAATAACAGGAAAACAGCATTGGCTATTAAAATTATAATCACATAAATTAAAAACTTAATAGAGAAGTTGAAAGATAAAGTTTTAGCAAATCTTCCAGCAGCTGGACCATAAAAAGAAATTGAAGATAAGAGAAATGGTATAAGAAAATTAGAGGACAAGTCCAGCAGGTCTTACATCTTTTTTTTTTTTTTTTTTTTTTTTGAGACAGAGTCTCACTCTGTCGCCCAGGCTGGAGTGCAGTGGCACGATCTCAGCTCATTGCAAGCTCTGCCTCCCAGGTTCACGCCGTTCTCCTGCCTCAGCCTCCCGAGTAGCTGGGACTACAGGCGCCCGCCACCACGCCCGGCTAATTTTTTGTATTTTTAGTAGGGGAGAGATGGGGTTTCACCGTGTTAGCCAGAATGGTCTCGATCTCCTGACCTTGTGATCTGCCCGCCTCGGCCTCCTGAAGTGCTGGGATTACAGGCTTGAGCCACCGCGCCTGGCCAGGCCTTACATCTTATTAACAGGTGCTTCAAAAAAAGAATCACAGAAGAATACAAGAAAAAAATTCTAAAAATAGTGAACATGATACCCCCATCAAAAGTGCCCCTTAAATGTTCAAAAATATGAGTTAAAAATTAACCCAAATCAAGACATATTATCATGACATATCAGAAAACTGAAAACAAAAAGATGATCCTAAAGCCTTCTATAAGTGGAGAATATATTGTTCACACACAGGATCAAAGATCAAATGCCTTTACCATTGTCAACAGCCATACGAGACACTAAAAAGCAATAGAATGATGGCTTCAAAAGTCTGCAAAAAAAAAAACACTTATTTACAATCTAGAATCCCATACCCAGTCGAATTATCATTTAATTGTGGCAGGAGTTGGGGAGGGGGAGACCAAACTACAGTAACTAAGACAGTTGATATTAAGAAAGGGATAGAAAAGTTGATGAATAAAACAGAAAACCTATAACCTACACGTATATAGGTTTCTGCATCTAGAACAATGTCTGGCATATATCAGGCACTCAATAAATATACCTTGAATGTTGACTGAATACACAAACTTGGTACATGAGAGAGGCTGTATTGCAGGTCAGTGGGCCAAGAACAGACTGTTTAAGAATTGGTTGGAAAATGAAATATTCATATGAAAATAATAAATCCAGATTAGTTATTTATAATAGACAAAAATTAAGTAAATTCAATATGAATTAAAGACTTAAAGTAAAACTTTTAGGAAAAAACATACAATTTTTTAGACTTTGTATCCATAAAGATTTCTTCAACAAGACACAAAAATGTATCATACAAAAATAAAATGATTAAGTTTGTCTACATTAAAATCATAAACTTTTATTGATCAAATGATATATTAAAGAGAGTATAAAGCAAACCTTAGATTGGGGGAAGATATTTGTACACGTATGACCAATGAAAGATTAGTGTCCAGGATATTCCAAGTTCATGGATTGGGAGAATTAATATTGTTAAAATATCGATACTACCCAAAGAAATCTACAGATTCAATACAATCCCTATCAAAATACCAACGCTATTCTTCACAGAAATAGAAACTAAAATTTGTACAAAACCACAAAAGAACATGAATAGCCAATGCAATACTGAGCAAAAAGAACACAGCAGGAGGCATCACACTACCTGACTTCAAAATATACTATAAAGGTATAGTAACTAAAATGGCATGGTACTGTGATAAAAACAGACACATAAACCAATGGAACATAATAGAAAACCCAGAAATAAATCCACACATCTACAGTCAACTGATTTTTGACAAAGGCACCAAGAAAACACATTAGGAAAAGGATAGTCTTTTCAATAAATGGTGCTGGGAAAACTGTATAATCACATACACAGTAATGAAACTAGACTCCTATCTCTCACCATAAACAAAAACCAAGTCAAGATGGATTAAAGACTTAAATGTAAGAGGTAAAACTACTAAACTACTAGAAGAAAACATACAGGAAATTCTTCACAACATTGGTCTAGTCAAGAATTTTTTGGATAATACCTTAAAAGCGCAGCAACAAAACCAAAAATAGAAAAATAGGATGACATCAAACTCAAAAGCTTCCGCACAGCAAGGCAACAATCATCAGAGCAAAGAAACCACCTACAGCATGGGAGGAAATATTTGCAAACTATGCACCTAACAAGGGGTTAATATCCACAATATATAGAGAACTCAAACAACTCAATAACAACCCGATTTAAAACATGAGCAAAAGAACTGCATAGACATTTATCAAAAGAAGACATACAAATGACCACAGGTGTATGAGAAAAATGTTGAACATATCTAATTAATAGAAAAATGCAGGCCAGGCACAGTGGCTTATGCCTGTAATCCCAGCATTTTGGGAGGCCAAGGCAGGTGGATCACCTGAGGTCAGGAGTTCAAGACCAGGCTGACCAACATGGTGAAATCCCATCTCTACTAAAAAAAAAAATACAAAATTAGCTGGGTATGGTGGCAGGTGCCTATAATCCCAGCTACTCAGGAAGCTGAAGCAAGGGAATCACTTGATCCCGGGAGGCGGAGGCTGCAATGAGCCAAGATCGTGCCACTGCACTCCAGTCTGGGTGACAGAGTGAGACTCCAACTCGAAAAAAAAAAAAAAAAAGAAAAAAATGCAAATAAGAACCACAGGGAGATATCACCTCACCCCAGTTAGAATGGCTATTATCAAGAAGATACTGGTTAATGGGTACAATGTATGTTATTCAGGTGATGAATACCCTAAAAGCCCTGACTTGGCCCCTACAATCAATACATATAACAAAATTGCATGTGTACCCCATTAATTTGTACAAATGAAAAGAAGATTTAAAATAATAAATGCTGGTACAGATGTGGAGAAAGAGGAACTCTTATATAGTGTTGGTACAGATGTAATTAGTACAGCCATTATTATAAACAGTATGGAGGTTCCTTCTCAAATTAAAAATAGAACTTCCATATGATCCAGGAATCTTGCTGCTAAGTATATATTCAAAGGAAATGAAATCAGTATGTTGAAGAATAAACTTCCATGCAGTAAACTTCCATGTTTAATTGCAACATTGCTCCCAATAGTCAAGATATGAAATCAACCTGAAGATATGAAAACTTCATCAACAGAAGAAATTTTAAAATGTAATATGTATCCACCATGGAATACTATTCAACGATAAAAAGAATAAAATTCTGTTATTTGAGACAACATAGTTGAACCTGGTATACATTACGTTTAACGAAATAAGCCAAGCACATAAGGACAAATACCACATAACATCACTGATTTGTAGAATCTGAAAAAGTTCATCTCATTAAAGTAGAGGGTAGAGTAGTGGCTATCAGAGGCCAGGGAGGAGGAGAGAAAGGAAGAGGTTTGTCAATGGGTACTGTTAGAGTTGGATTGAAGAAATTAGTTCTGGTGTGATATTGCACAGGGTGATATAGTTAACGATAATGTATTGTTTATGTCAAAATAGTTACAAGTTTTGAATGTTCTCATTCCAAAAAAAATGTTCCAGATGACGAACATGCCAATTAACTGATTTATTCATTACACGATGTATACATGTATCACAACATCACCCTGTACTCCATAAACACATACAATTATATGTCAATTAAAAACAAAACAAAAAATAGGCTTCTGAAAACAACACTCTCAATAATAAGGAAACGCAATAAAAGAATGGGCAAAAGATACAAGGAACTTAACAAAACAAATATGAATGAAAAAATATATACATGAAAAGGTTTTCTATCTCATTAGCAATCAGAATATAAATTTAAACTATAACGATATTGACAAGTCAGTCTGATACATACCTGATGGGAATGTGGAGAAAGGAATTCTTATATTCTTATAGGCATGTATACTGAAATAACCACTTGGATAAATTAGAAATTTTCAGTAAACTTTAACATTTACATAATCTATAAAACTCTACTTTTACAGTTTTCTGCTCCTATATAAAAATGGACTTTGAACCATGTAAATAATGTTCATAACATTATTCATAATAGACTAAACAGAAAAAAAGCCCAACTGTACATCGATGTTGGAATGGATAAATAATGGTTTATTCATAGAATGTTATCTTACACAACTGTGAAAAAGGAAGAATTACATCCACATGTACCAACATGGATGAAACCTAAAAGCAATACTGTGAGTCGGAAGCAAGTACGAACAGAAGAATTCATAGTGTACTATTGACTTCATGTTCAAAAATATTCAAAATTGGAAATTATATTGTGTAGGAATTGTTATCCATGAAAACATAAAGCCATACAGAAAACAGTAACTAAAAATTCAAGTTAATGGATCCCTGTTGGAAGAAATGCTGACGTTGTGATTGCAGAAGGAAACGCAAGGGCCTTAAAAACTGGAACTATTCTATGTCTTAACTAACTCTATGTCTGAAACGAATGTTGGTAATATTCTGTGTCTTAAAAGAAAGGTGGGCATGTAATCTTTATTATCACTTTTATTTTTTCATACACTTTTTTGATGTGTGAATATTTTACACTTTTTAATTTTAAAAAATATATAGAAAAAGTAAAACAATGGAACTGAGATATCAAAGCATTTTATAGAACTGAGGATTTTCAGAAACTGTGCTTCTGGAAGCTTGCCCAGTCACTACCAGGAGAATTCTAACCCAACAAATAATGGGAAAGTTCTGCCTTGACCATTCTGATGCACTTATACTATACCAGTTACCCTACGCTAAAAGCATTGGCTTTGGAATAACAGTTCTGTTTGCAGTTTCTGAAACTGAGTGAGTCCCAGTTTGCACATTTATGCAGTTAGGATTGACAGCAAGGATTGTTTAAAGATGAAATGGGATTGTGAGAGATAAATACCTGGCATACCTCTAGCACCAACAAATGGTGGTTCCCTTCCCTTCACCATCTGTGCCACCCTTTCTTATTAAGCTCCCCAGTTATTTCTACCAACTCAGTTTTCTGAACTTTCAGTTTGCTTGCCATGTTATTTATTTGAAAGTACGTTTACAAATATTATTGCATTTGATCTTCAAATGTAGACATCAGAAGCAAGAAATTGCTATGTGAATTCGAACACTGATATTCATAGAGATGAAAGACAACAGCAGCAATGTCCAAAATTTTGGAGAAATCCTGGTTGCAACTATTACATCTGTTATTCCCAAAATATATCTTTTAAGTCAAGAGAAAAGCTCTAATACTGGACACCTAAATGATATCTCTTAGGCTACTACTTGACCCTAAAAACATATCCTGTCAAATGCTCTTATTTGAGATTGGGAATTATATAATCACTAGACTGCTAAAAACCTAAAATTACAGAATCAAAGGGAGAATAACTCCAACATTTACCCCTTTCAAAAAATAGAAATATATTTAAGCATGTTTCAGATACATTCACATCTTTATGGAAAAAAAATCCTCAACTGGAAATAGTGTAATTGCAACTCTGTGGCCTATTTTAGATACACTCCCTTGGGAAGAGCTGCCACTTAATTTTCAGTCCCATGAATTTAGAAGAATGTTTTATTCAGGCATCATCCCCAGAGCTCAAGACTTCATAGAGCTTAGAAGGAAACACTAACATGTGACAAGGAATGCTCATCTAACAGCCTCATTCCCCAATGACCACCTGACCCTTGACCTAATTAATTTTGGTCTTCTATTTTGTGACTTATCTACATTGAGATTAAGTCACCAATAGCCTCAAATGCTAATTATGCAACCCACAAGACACCCAGGAACAGTAAAGTGTACTGAGAAGGCATTATCTTCTTTTATCTTTCGTTTTGAACAGTGTTTTTGAGAGCAAAGCCTATGAAGAAAAGCTATGTATCTCTATTGGCAACATTGTGACAGGCCTGTTCCTACAAGACTCAAAGGATTATTTCAGAGAATTTTATAGAACCAGGATGACCCATCGAGGGAAAGTCCCTTTCCTAATTGGCAGTGAAAAGTGAGTGTCACCAAAGCCCTGCACTGAGACCAAAGTGGTGGTGAGGAAGAGCTGTGCAATGAGCCATAAAACCTGACAAACTGTGGTGACCTGGAGTGACTTTAACAGCCACTCACAATCCATCCACATCCACTCACGTATTTCATTTATTCAGGCTCCTGCAAGAGGTGACAAAAAGGAAGTTGCCTATTTCCATTCTTCTCATTTCTATTTTTGCCCCTCTTTGAGTCCTGGGTTGTTCCAAGAAAATCTTTTCCCTGGCTGTCAGACAAGATGTTCTGAGTTTTCATCAGCAGAAGAAGGCTTTTAGTATCAGGACTTCCTAATCAATTTACAAATGAGAATAAATCAACTTTTGTTGAACTTTGAGTTTCACATGCTGAGCAAGGCACTTCACAAGTTGTCACTGAATTTTTCCAAGAACCAATGAAAGATGAGTCAAAATTATATACTAACCCTCATCTGTACAGTTAAAAAAAAAACCCTAAATAACTCTGTGTTATTTTACTGCTCTCCCTTTGCTCTTAAGCCCAAGTTCCACTGAGGGCAGAAATTGCAAGAAAAAAAAAAACTTTATCTTGACAATCCAAGTAGCTATGTTCTGAGTAATTACTCAGTCTTTCAGGATTATCCCCCATTCTCAAATGTTTTTCTTTTCTACTTCTCCTCCCCAAGATGATAGGTAGTAAGGTTCAGAGAAAAGCCTATCTAGTCTATTGAGCTTCAGAGGAACCTAGGGTGAATCATAAATAAAGTTTTTCCAGAAGAAAAAAATGGTTTGACAATAAAGACAAGGAGAAAATTCCAGTTTAGGAGCAGAGCAACATTTGCACAGCTTAAAGATGAGAGAGGAGCAGGGACAATCAAGAGCAAACATGTCTCCTGAGTGAAACAGAGAGCAGTTCTCCTTGAGATGAGGATAATGAGAACTACAGGTTCAAAGATTTCCCTGACCAGAAAAGAGTTATCAGGTCCACATGAGGTAAACCAAAGAGTTAGCATCAGTACAGGGTGGGGAAAAGGAGAAGGATATCGCTAAAGTGAAATATAAGCTAAGTGGCAGGGGATGTGACTAGGCATTACATACTAGCAATTGTCCTAACCAACACAAGGATGCAGTTCAGGGCATTTCACAAACCAAAATTTGAAGAGAAACGTTTGCCGGACATAGACAGGCATCATCAAAGGAGGAACATGAGTGGGATGAGTGAGCAAACTGTGCCTGCCAGGAGTAACCAAGGAAGCCAACCCTGACTGGAGAAAATCTGGGGAAGTCAAGTTTAGACCATGATACCATATTTTCTTTCACAGATTCAGTTCGATCTGAGAGAAGATTGACAGCTGGAATTTTTCCTCTGAAGACTGTGAGAAAAACACAGATACCCACTGATGGAAGCTAGCTTTGGGTAAGTTACTAGATATAGAAGAAAAAAACAAAGCTTTTTTTCTGGTGAGAAATTCAGATACATTTAGATTTGAATGTATCTGAAACATGTTTAAATACATTTCTAGTTTTCAAAGAGTTCATTAAGAGCATGCCACATCTGAAGAGAGGAGAGCAAGCAACTTTTGAAACTTCTATTCTAGGAAGAGTAAGTCAAGCTAAGTTTGAAACTAGAAGAAGAGAAAACTTGAGCAATAAATTAATGAGAAGTGAACCTTACATTGAGAAAACAAACTTACCTGGCCTTAGCTGTATACAACAGTCTCCCCCTTATCTGTGGAGGCTACATTTCAAGACTTCCAGTGGATCCCCAAAACTGCAGGTAATACTGAACCTTATAGGTACCATGTTTTGCTTGTTTCTTCGTTTGCTTGTTTGTTTGTTTTCTGAGACAGAGTCTCGCTCTGTTGCCCAGGCTAGAGTGCAGAGGTGTGATCTTGGCTCACGGCAACCTCTGCCTCCTGGGTTCAAGCAATTCTCCCGCCTCAGTCTCCTGAGTAGCTGGGATTGCAGGCGTGCACCCCCACACCCGGCTAATTTTCGTATTTTTAATAGAGACAAGGTTTCACCATATTGGCCAGGCTTGTCTCAAACTCCTGACCTCAAGTGAGCTGCCCACCTCAGCCTCCTAAAGTGCTGGGATTACAGGTGTGAGCCACCGCTCCCAGCCTATGTTTTTTCCTATACATACATACCTACGATAAAGTTTAATTTATAAATTAGAATCAGTATGAGATTAACAACAATAAAAAACAATTATATAACAATATACTCTAATAAAAGTTATGTGAATGTCATCCCTCGCTATCTTATTGTACTGTACCCTTCTTCTTGTGATGATGTGAGGTGACAAAATGCTTATGTGATGAGATGAAGTAAGGTGAATGACATAGGCATTGTGAAGTAAGGTTAGGCTATGATGGACTTTCTGACAATTTATCAGGAGGAGGATCATCGGCTTCTAGTGATCCTAGATCATGGAGCCATGGCAATGTTGATGGCTGAATGTCAGGAGCAGACGATATGAGTGACTTATGGATGAGTAACATGCACGATATGGATACACTGTACAAAGGGTGATTCATATCCCACTGGACAGAGCTGGATGATGAGGTTTCATTGCACTACTCAGAATGGTGGGTAATGTAAAACTTATGAATTGTTCATTTCTGGAATTTTCCATTTAATATTTTTGTATGGCAGTTGACCTACAGATAACTGATACCATGGAACGCAAAAACCACAGATGACAGGGGACTATTATGTTTCTTCTAACGAGTACTCTTAGCTGTGACTATTATTGACAGAAATGTGTCTGTCATTGTCTATATTTAAAGATATCTCTACACTCAGTTTGGCAAACTTATATTGTGTTTGTAAGGAATTTAATTTTATAGGAAAAACAATAAGGCTAGTGATCAAGAGTGTGGCCTCTGGTGTTTGGATTTTAACCCTGGCTCTCCATTTAGTGCCTGTGTGATGTTGGTCACTTAAACTATCGAAACTTCAGTATCAGCACCTAGAAAGTAGGATCATTTCCACATAGCAGTCTATTATCTTTAACGAATTTGAGTTTTCCCAATTTACTGAGTCTACTGATTTTCTATCATTATTTTCACATGTGCTTTGTAATTTTTAGCTCAGGTCATCTTCAGCAAGAGTTATTTCCTGTGGGAATTCCATGGAAAGTAGGCTGAGAGGAGACCCCATGGGACAGTTTCTTGTTTCTTTTCACTAAACCAATTTTTCTAAGAAAGTCATTATCAGGATTAAGTGGGTTAGTATTTGTGAAGGAACTAAAAATAGTAAATAGCCATTCTCAGCAACATAATTACTCAACAAGTGAATATTTGCTGAAAAATATTTCTTGGTTTGTAACTCCAGAGGAGCCACAGGGTTCCAATTTCTCACAGACGATTTTTTCTACCCGGGATGCCCATTGTGACTGCTGTGTCTTTTGGTCAAAGGAAAGAATTCTAGAACCTGTTTAAAAGGCAATACAGCCTTTCCCAACTTCTGGCTTAGGCAGGAGGCTCACTTTCAGACACACAGAACCCTTGGCCTTGACTTCCAACCAACCCCTCCCATTGTTTGTAAAATTCTAGCCTCTTAGGCCTATAGCAAGTTTCTTCTTTTTTTTTTTTTCTTCAACTTTTAAGTTCTGGGTTACATGTGCAGGATGTGCATGTTTGTTACATAGGTAAACGTGCGCCATGGTGGTTTGCTGCACAGATCATCCCATCACCTAGGTATTAAGCCCAGCATCCATTAGCTATTCTTCCTGATGCTCTCCCTCCCCCGGCCCCCCTCAGACAGGCCCCAGTGTGTGTTCCCCTCCATGTGTCCATGTGTTCTCATCATTCAGCTCCTGCTTACAAGTGAGAACATTCAATGTTTGGTTTTCTGTTCCTGTGTTAGTTTGCAGAGGATAATGACTTCAAGCTCCATCTATGTCCCTGCAAAGGAGATGATCTTGTTCTTTTTTATGGCTGAAGAGCATTCCATGTTGTGTATGTACCACATTTTCTTTATCCAGTCTATCACTGATGGGCATTTGGGTGGATTCCATGTCTTTGCTATTGTGAATAGTGCTGCAATGAACATATGCATGTATGTATCTTTATAGTAGAATGATTTATATTCCTTTGGGTATATACTCCGTAATGGGATTGCTGGGTCAAATGGCGTTTCTGCTTCTAGATCTTTGAGGAATCACCACACCGTCTTCCACAATGGTTGAACTAATTTCCCTCCTTCCAACACTGTAAAAGCGTTTCTTTTTCCTCATAACCTCACCAGCATCTTTTGTTTCTTGACTGTTTAATAATTGCCATTCTGACTGGTATAAGATGGTATCTCATTGTGGTTTTCATTTGTATTTCTCTAATCATCAGCGATGTTGAGATTTTTTCCATGTTTGTTGGCCACAGGAATATCTTCTTTTGAGAAGTCTGTTCATGTCCTTTTTCTACTTTTTAATAGAGTTGTTTGTTTTCTTCTTGTAAATTTGTTTAAGTTCCTTCTAGACTCTGGATATTAGATCTTTGTCAGATGGATAGATTGCAAAATTTTTCTCTCATTTTGTAGGTTGTCTGTTCACACTGATGATTGTTTTGCTGTGCAGAAGCTCTTTATTCAGAGCCCATTTGTCAATTTTTGCTTTTGTTGCAATTTCTTTTGGCATTTTTGTCATGAAATCTTTGCCCATGCCTATATCTTGAATAATATTGCCTAGATTTTCTTCTGGGGTTTTATAGTTTGGGATTTTATATTTAAATCTTTAATCCAACTTGAGTTAATTTTTGTATAAGGTGTAAGGAAGGGGTCCAGTTTCCATTTTCTGCCTATAGCTAGCCAGTTTTCCCAGCACCATTTGTCAAACAGGGAATTTGTTCCCTGTTGCTTGTTTTTCTCAGGTTTGTCAAAGATCAGATGGTTGTAGGTGTGTGGTGTTATTTCTGAGTTCTCTATTCTGTTCCTTGGTCTATGTGTCTGTTTTTGTACCAGTATCATGCTTTTTTGGTTTCTGTATCCTTGTAGTATGGTCTGAAGTCAGTTAGTGTGATGCCTCCAGCTTTGTTCTTTTTGCTTAGCGTCATCTTGGCTATTTGGGCTCTGTTTTGGTTTCCTATGAATTTTAAAACAGTTTTTCCTAATTCAGTGAAGAGTGTTTTAATGGTAGTTTAGTGGGAATAGCACTGAACCTATAAATTACTTTGGGCAGGATGGCCATGTTGAAAATATTGATTCTTCCTCTCTATGAGCACAGAATGTTTTTCCATTTGCTTTTGTCCTCTCTGATTTCCTTGAGCAGTGGTTTGTAGTTCTCCTTGAAGAGGTCCTTCACATCCCTTGTCAGTTGTATTCCTAGGTATTTGATTCTCTTTGTAACAATTGTGAATGGGAATTCATTCATTATTTTGCTCTCTGCTTAGGCCTGTGGCAAATTTCAATAGCTCTGTGGGCTTTTCAGATTTAACCCACTCTGACACTCTGACTTTGTTTCCTCTTTATTTCTAACTCCTCAAAATTTCTTTTTTTTTTTTTTTTTTTTGTTTTTTCGCTTTTGACCCGGACTGTGGGATTTCTGACTTTGTTACGTTGTAACAACTCCGCAAGTTGGGAATGTGCTATCCTCACTTCCTACATCAGTTCATTCTACCATATGGATTGGAAGTCACCTGCTCTACACACATAACCATCAACACCAATGGTAAAAATACAGTAGGATGCACCATAGAGACAGCTCCCAAACCAGAAAATACCTAAAACCCTATGGTGAGCAATAATTTTTAACATTCACACATAAACTGTTATCTTAACATTTATTAGTATTAAGTTATTTCAGGCAATAATGTCCGATCATGTTTGCATTATTATCTGAAAACCAAATTCCTTCACCCTTCTAATGCATTTCCATTGTTAGTTAAAAATTCAGGGCATAATTGTCCACTCTTAGGGATAAAATCACATTTCTTTTGTTTTCTAGGTTCCCCAAATTATCTCCATAGAGTTTTTTTTTTCATTAGACTATTAGCTTCTTCATAAAGATTTCATGCTGTTCCAAGTTAATACCTAATAAGCATTTTCAAAATACTGTGTGCAAAAGCTCAGTGCATTTTTATCTTTCTGAAGTAGCCAGGGATCACATTTTAAACTGATTTAAAAATTCTAATAAGGATAATATTAATTGAAAAAGTTTTAAATAAACATACCAGATAGAATTATTTTAATTATTTAGCATATTAAAGAAAATTGAATTGATTCTGACTAAATGAGTCAACTCAAACTCCACCCAAACCACAGTTCTACAGGAAGAGACAATATTGAGGAAACAAATTATTCACCCAGTATTTTACTTCTACTCCTAGAAATTATCATGTAGAAAAGAATACTCCAAAACTCTTGACCAGAGCATGCTGGGTAATTTGTACTTTGTAGGAAGAGAGCCACAGCATGAATTTAATGAATATCAAACTCCAATAGAAAAAAATATTTTTCTAGCCTGAATGTCTCAACAATGGTCACTTAATTAAATACATTATGGTGCAGGCATATGACAAAAGATACTATCCCATAAAAATCATATTATAGACTATTCAACAGCATGGAAAGACACTGGTAATATTTTGAGATGTATGATTCTATTTGTCACAAAATGAAATTTCCCTGCAAATAAAGAACCTAAAAATAAGGGTGGATCCAGGTTTTGTACAATCTAAAGTTTAAAAAATAAGAAGAGAAGCCATTTTAGGAAAAAATACAAAATGATGAATACAAAATTACATAAGTCCCAATCAGGGCCTGGAAAGGGACCTATAGACAAGCTTCATTAGTTCCATATAAATCTGTCTTTGTCTGAAAGACTCTACCACAAAATTTTAACAGGTATACATCTAGAAAATAGGATTGCCAGTTATCTTTTTAATATTCTTTCTGCCCACCATTATTTTTTAAGTTTTCTATAATAAAAGAAATAATTACTTATTTAATAGGAATTAAAATATTTTTAAAATAAGCTTTTACAGAGGAAGGTACAGGTTACCTATTTTGCCCAGCCAAAGCAAAAGAATATTGATTTCAAATGTCAGATAGAGCCCATCTGGGCCAAGTATATGCTTATAACAATATCTGGAAAGATTGTCTGAAAAAATATTAAGACAACAAACTGTTAAGAATGACTGAATCCACATTCTGTAATGAGAACTCCATGGATTTTACTTTATGGTAACTACACTAAATATAAAAATAATCAACAGATACAATGTTTTCTGATATAAAATAGTCACATATACTTTATGTCACTTTTTCACCACACACTGTATGGAATTACAAAGTCCTTATTAATCCTGCCTCTTAAAAAAATTAAAGTCCAAACTGTTTCTCCATCCTCCACTATTCTGGTCCAATCTATCATCAGCTCTGGCAGGGACTACTGTAATAGCCCTTGTCAGCAGTCACTGCTTCCTCTCGGCCCCCACACACCATCACAGTCCATTCTGCACACAGCAGCCACAGTAGTCCTTCAGAAGCACAAACCAGATCATGCTGCTCCTGCCTTAAAACCCTTCAGTGGCTTCCCAACACACTAGGAATGAAATGCAAATATGATGCATAGGGCCCGCAGGCCTCTGCATGTTTGGTCTCCTGCCTACTCCCCAGGCTAACTCCTTACAATTCTCCCTTGGCTCATACATTCCCACCACACTCATGTCCTGCCTACGCCTTAAACAACAAGTTTTCCTGCTTCATGTGTTTGCACTTTCTGTTCTCTCCCTCTGGGCTGTTTAACCCCTACTTCTTCAATTGTCTGACCACTCCTTACTCTGAAGATTTCTGCTTGTTTCTCATTGCCTCACTCTCTTAAAGCTATGACTTTACCCACCAGGCCTCCCTACTTTCTGATGCAGCACCAGAATATTAATGGAAGTTATCCCTTAGGGGCAGAATTACAGATTTTTTTCATCTTTATACATTTGATTTACTGCATTTTCTAAAATGAACATTTATTTCTTTTATTAGAGGAAATTATTAATTAAAAAATCTCTAGATGAGAAAAGACAATTCATTTATTTGTCCTTGTATATATTCACCTAAGTCTACTGACAATAATTTACCACATGGTCCAGAATTTTTAAATCTTCCATGCTCCAAGGGTGTTCCAGTTCATCGAAGGGCCTGTTCAAATGTCAATCCATTGTGAAGATTTCACCCAAGAAAGTATGTATGATCCTCTTTTATATTCCCATAGCATCTCATAACTAGTGCTACTGTAGCTCTTATCATACTGTGTTATAATTAATAATTTATATTTATTTCCTCCACCACTCAAAATTACTTCATCATTGTATCCCCAGTATCTGAAACAATACAGCACTGAGGATATTTAAAATCTCTGATATATGTTTGAATAAAAGAATATGGAAGCAATTTACCCCTCATTTCACAACAAATAAGAAAATGTAAGAAAATCCAGAATTTGGGGACTATATGGTATAAAGGACTTTAGAAATTATTCAGCTGCATTACTCAGCTTTGGCTTGGACTTTTCCAGGGACTGGAAACTCACTTTCTGGAGGAAATCAATTCTACCTATGATACTTCTGGACAGCAGAATGTTCTTTCTTTTTGTGATCCTTCAAAGGCCTCCTGTAATTTCTACTGTTTCTTTAATAAACAAGGTATAACATCCGAGAGGCAGCTATCATGACCCCCTCATACATGCAGAATATCTCTAATTACTTATATAGACATGAATGAATGGTTTCTAGATCCTTCGAATTGCTAGTCCTTCTCCACTGAACATGTCCCAGCGTTTCTCAGAGCGTGGACAGTTCAGCCTAAGGTGAAGGAGAATTATTACCTCCTTCATTCTGGAGTCTACTTCTAGCAATATATCCAAGATCAAGAGTGTTTCAGCTTATTGGCAGCCACATCACTCTGCCCATACTTAACCAATTATCAGCCAAGACTAAGTTTTTACTAATATGCATGCTTCCCATACTATAGTTCTATAGCTGATTTTAAGGCCTTTGTGCATAAGGCACATTTTTCTTTATTTTCATCTTGTTAGACTCAGTTCACTTTTCCTGCCCCTAGGCATTCTTAAATATCAAAGCATTGGCTACTCTTCTAGCTTCATGCCATCTATAAATGTAATAAATATGCTTTCTACTTCTTTGTCTAAATCATTTACAAAATGAGGCCAAAGAGAGTCAGTACAAAATGTCCATTGCTAGTTGGAGCATAAACTCATATCCAATATATTATATACTATATATATGTATATGTATATATACACACATATAATATCCAATATATGATGTCATTATATGTTAAATGACATAAAGGAGCTTCAGAGCAACCAGAAGGAGGAGAAGAACACACTCAATTTGGAAAGCAGAGAACAGAAACACACATAAGATGAGAAGGGAAATAGTTTAGGTAACAATTAATAGAAGGGATAATATTTGGACAGCCATTGAAGGATAAATAGTATTGCAATCAGCAGTCATGGTAATGGATATTTCAAGCGTGAAAAGTATATTCACAAAGTTCTCTGGCAGCAAATCACATAATATATTCATTCATTTAAAATGTATCTACTATGCTATGTGGTAGACACTGTATTAGGTAGGAGGATATGGTAATGATCAAAAGCAGACACAATGCCTATCCTTGGTACTTATGGTCTAATCAATGAGACAGATACAGAAACAAACAAATGAGAAGTTGCTAGTTTGACACAAGAATATATTTAAATACAAGAATTTTCTAGTTGCGTAAACACCTTGGGTAGTACCGAGGAACAAAGCTGGAAGATGTAATGAATCTAAGAATGGTGTGTTATGGATGTTTGGCTATTAATAAGAAGCAGTGGGAAGCCATTAAGCATTCTTGAATAAGGAGGTGGCCTAATCAGAGATAAGGTTCAAGACACATAATTTGTCAGCAACTTGCAGGATGGGCTGAGTGAAAAAGAGCCTGATAATTGGGAAGTTTGGTTGTTAAACTAGGGCAAAAGTCTGAATGAGAGATAATGAAGATCTACACTATGGTTATATAATTGGGGATGGAATGTAAGAATTATTAAGGAATAAGATATCAATAATTTATGAACTGTAGGTTGGATAAAGTAAAAAGGGAAAGTAGTCACAAATGAGGCCAATGTGTAAATCCAACTGACTGAGAAAATGATAATTCCCTCAACTCTAAAGAACCTGGGGAGTTGGAACAGGGAGTTGACCTGGTTTATGAACAAAGACCTGGTTTATGAAGAAAGAAATATCTAGGGGCCACATCCATCAAGAAGCTGAAAGTGAGGTGATAGAGCTTAGGAGAGAAAAGGAGGCTAGAGAGGGATGGGAGATGAAACCTTGGGAATGGATCCTATTACTGAAAGAAAAATTAAAGAGAAAGAAATGCTAACTTTCTGACTTAGGACTTGGATAGGGCCCTCTAGAAATAGGCCAGAGCAGAGAAAGAAGGCAGTAAAAGAGATTGAAATATGTATTTGTGAGGATTTTCCAGAGAAACAGAACCAATAGGATGGAGATAGGTGTAGATACATGGAGAGAGGGAGAGAGGGAAAAATAGAAGGAGAGAGAGAGAGTATAAGGAATTGGTTCATGTAACTATGGAAACCAAGAAGTCCCACAATCTTCAGTCAGCAAGGTAGAGATACAGGAAAAATCAATGACGTTAAGTCCCATTCTGAGTCTGATGGCCTGAGAACCAGAAAAGTCAATGGTCTAAGTCCCAGGCCAAGGGCAAGAGAAGACCAATATCCCAGCTTATGTGATCAGGCAGAAAGAGAACAAATTCTCCCTTCCTCTGCCTTTTTGTTCTATTCAGGCCCTCAATGGATTGGATAATGCCCACCCACATTGGGGAGGGCAATCTGCTTGACTCAGTCTATAGATTTAAATGCTAATCTCTTCCATAAACACCCCTACAGACACACCCAGAAACAATGTTTAACCAAGTATCTGGGCATCCCATGGCCCAATCAAGTTAACATATAAAATTAACCTTCACAAAGGGAAGATTCTAGAAAGTCACATCCACCCTCTTCTTTCAGAAGGACAAACTGCTAACAAAGAAGAAAACAAAGTTCAGAATCAGATTCTTTCACTATTTTCTTCCTACTATATTTATGAGGCACCTGTCATTGCAGCACACCTCATATGATACCTGGTTGCCATCATCTTGCAGTAGAAATAACCATCATCCTGTAGTCAGTCTACATTGAGTCACTGGCAACAGGCTCCATGTGCAGCACCCCAGTCAGATCACAGGGCTAGATGGACACATTAGGTTTGATATGGAGAATGCTGGAAATCCTCTACACCACATTATATTAGATGTTGCTTCTACAAATTTATAGGCAGTATGGCTTCTCACTTTGTTTTTTTGTGTGTTTTCCAATAATATCTAGTTTCATTGGAAGTATAAGTTCTCACTTGCTCATAGGAACATCTAATTTAGTAATGCTGGGACACTGTAAGCATGATTTGCATCTTAGTATCTTATGGAATGTAAATGAATTCATAATGCATTTCTTCTGTTAAATCAAGAAGACATAAGAAGAACTGTAATGTTCACTTCACCAAAGAACTTATTACTCATATAACTTGAGTCACATGAATTATCAGTGGACACAAAGAGTCCAATATCTATAGACACTTCCCTGCATGTACATACACATGCACTTGTGCATACAAGTACACAGAGCCAGGATAAACAATAGGAGAAACAGAGCAGGCTTTCTAGGGAAAGATGCCCAAATCTGAAATTTTATACCTCAGGAGGAAATAATAGCAGTTTCCACCCATATTATTTCTTCAGTAGCTATACATACACACAAATTCCAGCAGGCAACATGACCACAGGGGCCTGACCTGCTTGGAACTAATCCATTTAGTACTTTCAGAAATAGATTCAGATCAAAGTACCAACTAATTCAAGTGAAGAGGCACACAAAACATACACACACACAAGTGTTAATGGAAAGAGATCATAAGGGATTGCAGTAACTGGCAAAATGCCTCACCAAGAAACCCACACACCAATAAACATTTTGAAGCAGATGAGTTAGCCTAGATTTGGTTTCCATGGCAATAAATACTGAATGGAGGTCTGCTACCACCTATCCTAAAGAGAAGGGTCAGAAATCAGTAAAATACTTCATTTAATAATAAAATATAATTATCAAAACCAACCACAATTGCACTCATCACTGTCAAAAAAACTGTTTTCTGAAATTGTAGATTTTTACCCTGATTAAAAACAGAACAAAAGGAAGAATTTACAAAGTCTCCAAATAGCATGGTAATTTCATCTTGAACCCCAACGGACCTACAAAAAAAAAAAAAAAAAAAAAAAACAAATGATTTCGGGCTGACCCCAAACCATTATGCCTGAATTTTGCCACCTTGAACACTGCTTAGCAAGCGTCAGAATGGGCTGTAACAATGGGGTCCCCTACAACCATGGTCTTCAGAATGTCACAATTTCCCTGTAAAGAATGACCTAAGGGTTGCAGGGCTGTTGCCAACAAATGCTTTACACAAGAAGCACTTCTGACTGTTTATTTGCTAGAACTAAAATTTAACTGTTATGAGGATCAAACAACAAAGACTTCATACACTCATAGGTGGCAGATATGTTCCCAACGACCTGTGAGTTAACTTTAACTTCTTGTACTTTTCCCTCAGGGATATACTGAAGAAGACGATATCCTAAGAACAGAGTTCTAGAACATCTCAGAAATTTATCTGGCCTACTCTACAGAAATCACTTAAATCTAATATAACAACGTGTGTAAAGTAAGCCTGCCTTCTTTCAGAGACTGGAACCAGGAAGGGTGGTGATAATGATTTATGATTAACTGTATCACTCATTCTGCTTTCAATGATTCACTACACACTTGGTCTGTGTCTGGCATGCTGTTGGACACTCAGTACACAAAGATGGAAAATAATAGCCTTTCCCTTAAGAGTTTACAGTCTAGCAGAGACTTAGGATGAAGTCAGAACTTCTTCATGTGGCCTTCAAGGCCCTCTGGAATCTGGGATTGAGGCCCTCTGCCAGTTCTTCAGTGTCATCTCCCTTATCTCTCCTGACCATGTTCCAGCCATTACTGTTCTTTCTTGGCTCTCTTCTTCCAATTTTCCCACACTGTTCTCTGTGCCTAGAGTGGTTTTTCCCTGTCTCTTCATCTGGATAACTCCTAGTTATCTTTCAGGTCTCAACTTAAGCATCACTTTCCAGAACCGTTAGGTTCTCCTCTCATATGTTCTCATGGTTTCATATTCTTCCTCTATAATAACTTCTCACTTTAATGGTTTTCATTTTCAATTGTCTACCAAGCTCAGAAAGGGGTGTAATTAATTCTTCCAAGTTATCTTGTATCCCCAGATGTAAGCACAGGGTCTGGCACAAATCTCAAATATTTGTTGAATGAATGAAATTGCTGTGGGATAGCTGAGCACAGAAGCAGTAATTACGATAACATGGCATGACATTCAGCACAGAGATGCTGCTGCTGCTAATAGCAATGTTTATTGTGATGTAGCAATACGGCTAAACAGATTATGAATTAATCTGAATGCCTTTTATGGAATGCAGACATTTCTATAGTGCAGGATCTATATCTAGTTAATTCATTTAGTACCCAGCAAGACTGCCTGAAACTTCTGATGGCTTAGTAATAACTACAGTAAAAACACACAAATTAGACTTCAGATATTTGGAATTAAGGGTAATTCTCACAGTGGGCTGAAGTTTCCATGCTTCCTCAATTATAAAGGTTTACTAAGCAAATGGTGAGATGAGTGATTTTAATAAGCCGAACCATTAGCTATGTTCTCAGGTGTAATGTGCCGAACATTCAACGAAGAGTCAAAGAGTTGATTCTTTTACTAACTCTGCCACTAGCTAGCTCTCATGGACTTCTCTGCATCTGAATCTCCTCATCTGTAAGGTGAGCAGGTCTGACTCCATGATTTCCATACAGCCCAAGCCTTACCTGAGTCTGAAAAAACTCATCTAATTAAAAACAAATGGTTAATAGGCTAATTATTTTAGATAATCAAGTCTCCAAGGGCTTTTAACACAACAAACATATCCTGAAAAGCAGTTACAATATTACTCTTAAAGGCCAACATGGAGGCCCATGCCTGTAATCCCTGCACTTCAGGAGGCCGAGGAGGGAAAATTGCTTGAGCCCAGGAGTTCAAAACCAGCCTAGGCAATATAGGGAGATCCCTCCCTACAAAAAATATAAATAAATTAGCTGGTGTGTGGTGCACACCTGTAGTACCAGCCATTCTGAAGGCTGAGGCAGGAGGATTGCTTGAGCCAGAGGGGTTAAAGCAGAAGTGAGCCATGATTATGTCACTATACTCCAGCCTGGACAACACAGCAAAAGCGAGAAAAAAGAAAAGAAAAGAAAAAAGAAAAGGAGAGAGAGAGAGAAAGAAAGAGAAGAAGGAAGGAAGGAAGGAAGGAAGGAAGGAAGGAAGGAAGGAGGAAAATTTATTATATTACATAAATATTCTCTGGTATTCACTAGATCTCACTATACTAGCTCAGATTAGGAGGTTTTGCTGAATTTATGACTGGAATAAATCTATTCATCCTATCGAAGTGGAGCAAGAAGCAAAGAAATCACACTCACAGGCATCACTCATCTCATCTCTGTAGGTTCAGCGACCAACCCACAGAAGCAGACACAACAGGATCAGCTCAACAACATCAAGGAATGTAGGCCCCTACAATTCATCTCCTGACAATAAATTGGGTCCTTATCACAAAATCCTATAACAAGACAATCAGTAACTTTTTAAATCATTTAATCTACCCAAGACATGAATTTTGCTAACAACAAAGATAACTCTTACCAATATAAATACCAACTACATCATCTCAAAAAATGGACACCAACTCCTGTTAAAATATAACACAATAAAACAGCCTTAAGTTATGAACAAAAAGAGTATCAGCCAGCCAGTTGGGTAACTGAGTTCACTGAATGTAATTTAGGAGGTCATTGACCTTTTGTTTTTTTTTTTTTTTTCTATATTATTAGCATGGGGACACCCAATTTCCTCTGCTTTCTCTTCCTAGTTTAATTATCCTCCAACATTTAGGTAAGTTTCCAATAAACATATAAATTGAAAAATGTAAATTAAAAATATTTTCTAGGGAGACAATTTGCTTCATTCATCCATCCATTTATTCATAAAAATAGCATTATTTTACAGTTCAAGGTCCCAAGGGCAATCTGATTTTTAAATTATAAAACTCTAATGGGTGCAGCACACCAACATGGTACATGTATACATATGTAACAAACCTGCACATTGTGCACATGTACCCTAGAACTTAAAGTATAACGAAAAAACTATATATACACTAAAATAAATAAATAAATAAATTATAAAAATCAGGCCTTGGTTTTGCAATACAAATTATTGAAGAGATAAACAAAATATATAAAACAACTAGAAATCAATTTCAAGTATAAGAAAGAATTAGAGAATTGAGTATAATTTGTACGCAAATGTACAGAAAAATAAAACCATCTTTGGGGCAAAGTTAGTGTTGGAGGTTGCCGTAGAAAAAAATGACATATTAGACTTTAAATAAATGGTTGGATTTGTTACAACAGAAACCAAGGAAGTGCTCAGAAAATGGGAAGAGGGAGCATATAACAAGGAAACAGGAGCCAGTTTGAAGGGGCTCTCACTAGCCAAACCAGAGACAATTTCAGCACCAAAGAAACTTAAGCTCAGAAATACATTATGAACAATTGAAACAAAAAGGAATCCATGAGCCCACGTGGATAGTAATTAGATAAATAAGGGGTTATTTAGATAGTTAGATATTAAATAAGTAAATAACTTTTGTAGTAGAATAATGAGGGCCAACTGGTATTTCAATATCTTTTTGACAGATTGTGAATATTTCAAAACCAGAACTGCTTTTTTATCTAAAAAAGGTCCCTTTGGACCTTAAACTGCTCTAGTTATCAGATCAATCAATCAATGCTAAGTAATTCTGTTTTCATGAATTGAGTGAATAAATAAATGAATGACTCACAGCCTTCCTAGAAAATTGTTTGTATTTTACACTTTTCAATTGATACGCTAGTGCTGGAGTTGGAAAATCATCATTTTGCCGCCATTATGGTAAAGATTGAATCAGACAAAAAAATCCTCAACGGACACTAATTCAAGAAGAAAATTGAGAAGAAATAGTGTATTTCTGTATCTTCATACAGACTGCTTATTAGTTGCAAAGCAGAAAAATAAACAGTAATATACAGTGGAGAAGTGGGCAACTATAGGCTGGGTGATCAAAATTAACACGGCGACTGAGGGACATATGGACATAATGTGTCTCCAGATGTGACACCCTGAGAAGAACACGGTGTCATATGTGCAGTGCTCTAGCCAAACCTACATAATCCCATTCCAACCATGATTAGAAGAAACAGAAGACAAACACAGGCGAGAAATTTTACTTTTAAAAGCAGAAAGAACAACTAAAGTCTTCAAAAACATCAATGTCAAAAGACAAAGAAAAACTGTGGATATGTTTCAGATTAAAAGAGGCTAAAGAGACATGAGAACTAAATGTAATCTCTAATCCTAGATTGGATCCTGGGCTGAAGGAGTAAATGATATGAACTTTATATTATACTGTCCTTTATTATAAGAAACATTATTAAGTCAATTTAAAAATTGAAATATGAATTATAAATTAAAATACTGTATTGATGCAGATATATATATATATATATATATGTACATATATATGTGGAAACATACACAGATAAAGGAGGAAACACAGAGCAGACAGGGTCTTCTGTAATCTGGTAATGCTCTATTTCTTGACTTTGCTGGTGGTTACAGGTATATACGTTGCATGCAATTTTTTCATATTTTACACTTTTAAAAGTTAAAAAATGATATAAAATACATGCATACACAAACTGCCACCGATTTATCTAAACAAATGCCAATTGAGATTTGTCTATGTTGTTGGCACGAGAGCTACAGAAATGAAGAGTAGGGGGGTCCCTGCTGGGAATTCCAAATAAAGGAAAATTAAAAACTTCCCTCACATCTCTGGACACTACAGCATCCTGAACTGGCTTCATTCACCCCGCACAGCTCGTCATTCTCTCTCAGAACAAAGTGGAGCCATAAAGATTTTTTTATATCTATAAGATTTTGGTGGCATATAAATATAATACAGATGAGAGGTAGACAAAGATTGTGGATCAATTGCTAACTCTGGTTAGGGATATAGGAATAAGTTATCAAAGCAGCTGTTTTGTTGTTACTGATATACAGTTTTATACAGACAGGTAGTAAAGAGTAAAATCATGAATATCCAGCTCTATGAATTTACACAAAGGTAACGTAAACATTTATGTACCCCTCAAATACAGAAATAAAACATTACCAGAACTTTCATTTCTTGAAAACTACATTTATCCTCTCCAAGACTACCATTGTTTTGACTAATACCATAGGTTAGTTTTGTCAGGTTTTGAATTTTATGTAAATGGAACCATACAGTGTGCATTGTTTTGCATTTGTTATCTTTCACTCAGTGTTATTTGAGTTTCACATACATTGTCTCAAGTTTGTTGATTTTCATTGCTGCATTGTATTTATTCTACTATTAACGGACAATTTAGTTTCTCTGTTTGAGAAAATTATGAGTAGTAGTGCTGTGAAAATCTTTGCACGTGTTCTTGGTCCATATATGTATGCTTTCTTGCTTAATATAGAAATAGAATTTTTGGATCATAGGGTATATGTATGTTCAGCTTTCATGGACACTGCCTAACAGTTTCACAAGTAGCAGTGCCAATTTATAATCACAGCAACATGTATGACAGTTCCAGTTGCTTTACATCTTCTCTAATGTTTAGAATTGCCAGTCCTTTTGATTCTATCCCGAATTCATGCATATTAGTGTAATTTTAACTTCAGTTTGCCTGATGACTAATGAGACTGAGCACCTTTTCTTATGTGTTTTGGCTGCCTGGATATTTTCTTTGGTAAAGTACCTGCTCATGTCTTTTGCCCACTTTTCTTTTGGGATGACTCTCTTTTCCTCAGTGATTCCTATGCATTTGTTACATCTGCAGATATGTTCTTTGTTGAATATATTCATTGCAAGTATCTTCTCTTAGTCTGTGGCTTATCATTTAACTCTCTTAGTAGTGTCTTCTTATAATTAGAAATCAACAATTTTATTGAAATCTAATTTGTCAATCTTTCCTTTGTTAATGCTTTCTGATATTAAGAAATATGTGTGTATCAAAAGGTCATGAAGATATATCACTATTTCTTTTAGAAGTTTTATTGCTATGTCTTTTAGTTTGGTACAAAGTAGGGGGTCAAGATTTGTTTCTTCCTACATGACTTTCTAATTGATTCAACTGGAAGGATAAAACTTCTTGATAAGTCATCCCTTCCACAGAGCATCACCTTTATCATAAGTCAAGTGACAGTATACATGTAGGTTTGTTTCTGGACTTCTATTCTACTTAAATGGTTATTCCCCTATCCATATGTGAATACTACACTCTGTTAATTACTATAGTGTTAAAAAAAAAAAAAGTCTTCATAATCAACAGTTCTTCAACTTTGTTCAACTTCTTCAAGATTGTCTTGCTATTCTTGGCCCTTTACATCTCCATATAAGCTTGAGAATTGACTTCTCAGTTTCTGATAGTAAATAAATAACTTACTGGAATTTAGATAGTAATTAAATTGAATCTATAGGTCAATTTAGGAGAGTTACAACATCACTACAATATGGAGCATTCCAATCTATGAACAACTTATGTATCTTTCCATGTATTTATTTAGTTTCTCTCAATGCTATACATTTTTTTCTGTGCAGAGGTTTTACAAATATTTTGATAGTATCAATAACATCAAATACCTAGGAGTAAGTCTATCTTAAATTTTATTATTCCTAAATTTTATTTTCTACATGTTGCAGGTATATAGAATGAAATTGAATTTTGCATATTCACTTTATATCAAAAGATCTTGTAAATGTACTTCTTAATTCTATCAGTTTGCCCGTGGATTTTCAATCATGTCATCTATGAATAATAACAATTTAATTCTTTTTTACCCAGGACTATATACCTTGTACTTTTAAGTTTCATTCTGTCCTGCATTTCCATGTTTCCATTAGGGAACATTTTCTTCTGCATGAAGAATTCACTTCAGGATTTCTTTCACCTCAGGTCTGCTGGCAACAATTGTCTCAGGTTTTATATTGTCTGGAAATAGATTTATTTCACCGTCTTATTTTTTACTTTTTTGTTAAAGTACTATATGCATATAAAAAACTGTACATATCATAATGTTATAGCTGGATGAATTTTCACAAACTGAACCATCATTTGAACCAATGACACTGCTGCAACTCCTTCAAGAGTAATTGTGATCCTGGCATCTAACAGGTGAGTTTTCCCTGTTTGAACTTTGCATAAAAAATGTAAGTATGTATTTCTTTGTGTTGGCTTCTTTTACTCAATATTATGTTTGTGAGATTCACTCATATTGTTGTTTGTCATGTCCTTTATCCCCATTTCTGTTTAATCTTCTTTTGTGATTATACTTGGATAGTTTCCAGGTTTTGACTCTTTGAATAGTACAGCTCTAAGCAATTATATATGTGTCTTTTGGCGGCTAAAAGCAGTCATCTCTGTTGACTTTATGCTTTGGAGTGGAATTGCTAGGTTATAGAGTATGCATCATTTCATTTTTCAACACATATTTCCAAAGCAAAAATACTAATTTATTCCCCCAGCAGGAGAAACAAGAGTACGAATTTTTGCCATCCTCGCCACCTCCTAGTGCTTACCATCTTTTTCATCTTAGTCATTCTGGTGGTTGTGTAGCAGTACAAGATAGCAGTTTTAATTTGTATTTCCCTGATGACAAATACAGTTGAGCATCTTTTCATGTGTTTCTTAACCACTGGGAAGTTTCTGCTTGAATTGTTTTGTTTTTGCCTATGTTTTTAATTGGGTCTTCTGTCTTTTTCTTCTTGATTTATACAAGTTCTTTACATGTTCTGGATATGAGTCTTTTATCAAATATGTGTGTGGTAAACATATTCTCCCACTCTGTGGACTGTGTCTATAGTCTCTTAATAGCACATTTTCACAAACAAGATCTTAATTTCAGTAGAGTTCAATTTTAAAATTTTTCCTTTATGATTAACATACACTATAGCTCATTGTTAGCGCATGAAAATATACTCATGTGCTGCATAATTATGTTTCAATGATGGAGCACATATATGACAGTGGTCGCGTAATAGTATAAAGGAGCTAAAAAATCCTATCACCTAGTGACATCAAAGCCATCATAACATTGTAGCACAACCCATTACTTATGTGTCTGTGGTGATGCTGATGTAAACAAACATACTGTACTGATAGTTGTGTAAAAGTCTAGCACATACAATTATGTAGAGTACATAATACTTGATAATGATAATAAATGACTGTTAACTGGTTTACATTTTTACTATACTTTTGATCATTATTTTAGTGTATACTCCTTCTTATATATATGTTATATATATATTATATATATTATTCTTCTAGAATATATATAACTTATATACATATGTTATATATGTATACATAACTTATATACATATGTTATATATGTATACATAACTTATATACATATGTTATATATGTATACATAACTTATATACATATGTTATATATGTATACATAACTTATATACATATGTTATATATGTATACATAACTTATATACATATGTTATATATGTATACATAACTTATATACATATGTTATATATGTATACATAACTTATATACATGTTATATATGTATACATAACTTATATACATATGTTATATATGTATACATAACTTATATACATATGTTATATATGTATACATAACTTATATACATATGTTATATATGTATACATAACTTATATACATATGTTATATATGTATACATAACTTATATACATATGTTATATATGTATACATAACTTATATACATATGTTATATATGCATACATAACTTATATACATATGTTATATATGCATACATAACTTATATACATATGTTATATATGCATACATAACTTATATACATATGTTATATATGCATACATAACTTATATACATATGTTATATATGTATACATAACTTATATACATATGTTATATATGTATACATAACTTATATACATATGTTATATATGTATACATAACTTATATACATATGTTATATATGTATACATAACTTATATACATATGTTATATATGTATACATAACTTATATACATATGTTATATATGTATACATAACTTATATACATATGTTATATATGTATACATAACTTATATACATATGTTATATATGTATACATAACTTATATACATATGTTATATATGTATACATAACTTATATACATATGTTATATATGTATACATAACTTATATACATATGTTATATATGTATACATAACTTATATACATATGTTATATATGTATACATAACATATACATATGTTATATATGTATACATAACATATACATATGTTATATATGTATACATAACATATACATATGTTATATATGTATACATAACTTATATACATATGTTATATATGTATACATAACTTATATACATATGTTATATATGTATACATAACTTATATACATATGTTATATATGTATACATAACTTATATACATATGTTATATATGTATACATAACTTATATACATGTTATATATGTATATATAACTTATATACATATGTTATATATGTATACATAACTTATATAAGTTATATATATATGAAACTTACATATATATATATATATATATATATACAGTTGACTATAAAACAGCCTCATGCAGGTCCTTCAGGAGGTATTCTAGAAGAATTCTAGAAGCATTGTTATCATAGGAGATGACAATTCCATGCATGTTATTGCCTCTGAAGACCTTCTAGTGGGACAAGATATGAAATGAAAGAGAGTGAAATCGATTATCTTGACCCTGCGTAGGGTTAGCCTAAGGTCTGTGTCTTCATTTTTATGAAAATAGTTTAAAAAGCAAAAAATAAAATGAAAATGTTAAACTAGAAAAAAGCTTATAGAATAAGGATATAAATATAGAAAATATTTTTACAGCCATACAATGTGTTTGTGTTTCAAGCTAAGTGTTACAACAAAAGAGTCAAAAAAGTTTTAACAAAATTAAAAAGTTTATAAAGTAAAAAAGTTACAATAAGCTAAGGTTAATTTATTATTGAAGAAAGAAAAATATTTTATAAATTTAGTATAGCCTAAGTGTTGAGTGTTTATAAAGCCTACAATAGTGTACAGTAATATCCTAGGCCTTCACATTCACTCACCACTCACTCATTGACTCACTCAGAGCAACTTCGAGTCCTACAAGTTCCATTCATGGCAAATGTCCTATATAGGTATACCATTTTTTAATATTTTATACATTTTTGCCGTACCTTCTCTATGTTTAATACACAAATATTTACCATTGTGATGCAATTGCCTACAGCATTCAGTATAGTAACATGCTGTCCAAGTTTGTAGCCAAGGAGCAATAGGCTCTACCATATAGCCTAGATGTGTGTAGGCTATACCATCTAGGTTTGTGTGAGTACAGTCTATGATGTTTACACAATGACAAAATCACCCAATGACATATTTTTCAGAATGCATCCCCATAACTATCCACTTAATTTTTGCAGTTGATCTCATATTCTACAATCTCTCTGATCTCTCTGTTTCTACAATCTTTTTGGTACATTTTATTGGATTTTCTATATATACAATCATGTCATCTGCAAATAAGGGCAGTTTTACTTGTTCATTTCCAATATGGTACCTCTCATTTCATATTCTTGCATACCGCACTGTCTGGGACATCTAGAACAATGTCAAATTAAAGTGGTGAGAGTATGTATCTTTCTTCCTGATCTTAGGGAGAAAGTATGCAGTCTGTCACCATTGCATATGATGTTAGGTATACATTATTAGTACTGAGGCTTTCCCAGAAATAGCAGAAGAATTGGAGTTGGAGAGTAGGGAATGCAGTTGTGAGAAAACTGAGATGCTGCATTCAAGGAGGGGGACACTTAGAGGTACTATAACTTGAGAATTAAATGTTAATCCTGCATTCATTTTACTTACAAATTGAGGAAGATATTCTGAGAACATAGGAACAGTTTACCAGGTAGCTAAAATCCATGGTTTGAGTTCAGAGAGAAAATCTAGAAGTATTTCATAGCCACTGAATGTTGACTGGCTAGATTCAACTAGAACAAATAATTACCAATAAAAAAAGACTCTGTGAACTCAACTAGAATCTGTCATCCTCTAGAAATATATCCAAGGAATAGAAGGGATTGTGAGATATTCATCTACAACCTAGACAGCATCCTTCACTGAGTTTCTTGAGCAGAACACTCTGATGCAGACAGTGCTTCAGGAATAACCCTTGGGTACCAATCACCTGCTTCAATCTTACACTCTGGTTGTCATCATCATTTGAATTGTACCTGTAACTCCACAAAAGCATATTCAGTTTGAGTTTCTTTTAGGTTGTCTCCTACCTCGCCTCTCAATGGGCAGTATCATTTTATTCCTACTTACCTTACTATAGAAAATTACAATTTAATAAAAGCTTTAATTCACATTGTACTTTAACCTTGAGCTATTCAACAATGCTGTGATGTTGGTAAGGCAGTATTATTAGCGTTTCTTTAGACATGTGGGCATGGGCCAGGAAGCCTGAGTGTTTTGTTAAAGTCACAGGCTAATAAAATAAGGACCTAGGATTAAACCCAGATAATCTGATTCTATTTCCAGTTCTCTTTTCAATACATTATACTCCTTAATACCTGTCCAAAAAAGAGACAGAATTAGAAACAAGTTTTATCCAAGGATTTTTCAAAAAGGTTTAAATCTACTTCACAAAAATAAAATCTGGTAGCTTCTACTATATACCTTACAAAAGGCCAGGAAATATGTTAAGCATTTTAGATACATTATGTCATTTATTTTCTTCAACAACCCTCTTAGTAAATATTGTCCTCATTTAACAGGTGAAGACAGTGCAGCTTATGATGGCAAAGAACTTTCCCATGATCACAAATTAATAGTGAAAGCAGTAGGCTCCCCTTCACCAGACTTCCTAGATAAATAAACACTGACTTATGCTCTGCCACCATGTTGGAATGTGTGATTCTTATTATATTCTGAAGGGTTTATATTCTCATATTCAATTCTCAAATATTTGAAGGGCTTTGAAGGGAAAAAGAAATCAGGCTGAATATGCATGGTTCCAGAAAAGAAAAATAGGACTAGCATAAAGAAATTGCAGTCAGATTGTGCTTCAACATAAGAAATAATCTTTTTAATAATAACATCTGTTTGAGAAATGAAAGGATAATGTTCTATATCTTGTTTGCAGGGATGGCTACAGAGGCAGATGTACTTATCAAAACTCTAATTGTAACTTCAGATCCGTGTATTTCATTATATATAAATTTAACATCCATTTAAAAAAAAATAAGGAAACTGCTTCGTGAGATAATGAGCTTCACTCACAGACTTAATGATAACCCGCCAGAGATAGAACAAGGAAGATTCCTGTATTAATTGTAGAGGTGATACTGGATAGTATCTTTACATTCTTTCAAAACTAGGACTTTATAATATATTCATTGGCATATATATATATATATATATATATGTGAGAATTCGAGGTCACTTGCAGATCTAAAACTCTTGAGATTGTTTTTTATTGATAATTCTTCATACCATATTGTCTGTTCAAACATATAATGAGTTTCCAGGTAAACTCCCCTGTGAAGATGTTTCAAGTAGTAAGAGAAGAGCCAGTGATGAGCTTGTGGTGTCACTTGGTGAGCTAGCCTTTCACCTTCCTAGAGACCTCCCAGAGTGGATTTCCCAAATGAATTTCATTAGTCAAGAGCTTCAGCCTTAAAGACCCAGAAAAGTAGTTTTGTCTGTACATCACAGCATATCACAGTAACAAAGTTTACAAGGCTAAGAACAGTCTTTATTATTTTTAAAGGAGAAGCAAAGTTTTCAAGGATATCACACCCACTGGATCCTCGACCAGTGTATCATTCTTGCAGCATGCCATAGAAGAAAATAGACTATAGGCTGGGTGCAGTGGCTCACGCCTGTAATCCCAGCACTTTGGGAGGCCAAGGAAGGTGGATCACGAGTTGAGGAGATCGAGACCATCCTGGCTAACACGGTGAAACCCTGTCTGTACTAAAAATACAAAAAAAAAAAGTTTTACCCGGGAGTGGTGACGGGCCCCTGTAGTCCCAGCTACTCGGGAGGCTGAGGCAGGAGAATGGCGTGAACCCAGGAGGCAGAGCTTGCAGTGAGCTGAGATTGCACCACTGCACTCCAGCCTGGGCGACAGAGCCAGACTCCGTCTAAAAAAAAAAAAAAAGTAAAAGAAAATAGACTATAATCAGAGTGTTGATTAATAATCATGAGGTCAAAATAAAGGGTGTTGTTTAACTCAAATTTTTAATGGCATATTTGGGCAGCTTAGCTTTCAATCAGGTTGTGGTTCCTAGGAGTAATCCTGACTCTAAAACAGAACTGCATATGTTTGCTGTCCTGGTTTATTATGGATTAATATTTTAGTTTATCCAACAGGGAACTCTTTATTTCCTTTCTTTCCAGGTTCCTACAGAGCACTGTAGTCCTCATGTACTACAAAAGATGAAATCAAGTTAAAATGTTACCATACCTATAAAATATCCAGAGAGTGCTCTGTATGGTCTAGGAAATGTAAAACCATAGAAATGACACAGACCTTGTGTTAAGGATGCTTGAAATCTGATAATGAAAACCGAATGGGTGACATGTCATCAGCAGACAGAGATGGTACTGAAATCAGTTCCTACTTGAAATAGAAAGATGGAAAAATGGAAGTAAGGGTTGTTGTGGCTCCCTTTGAATTCTATCTATTATTTTACAGGGACATGTGCCTGCATTTAGTTGGCTCTCTTCATTTTCTTTGCATGTTCATTTTCTCAGAAGTAGTCAAATATTCATTAATTGTTGCCTATGCCAGATTCCCTGTGTCTCACAATATGTTTGACTATGAGCAATGCCAAATTAGAACATGGACACAGGAGGTAAATGCTTTTGGAGAGGAGAGAGTTCTTCATTTTCTTATGTCAAAAAATAGGATAAGAATAAAATTAATACTTGTTGAGTACCTAATTTAAGACAGGCCCTATCCTAGACATTTTAATCTCATTCAATCCTTAAATAGTATATCAAATATTATCCTGACTTTATAGAGGCAAAAATTGAACTAAGAAAGATTATCTGAGTAATTGATAATTGCATAACCAGTGACAAGCAGAACTAGTATTTGAACATAGTCTGTCTGATTTGAATGCCTGATTTCTATTCATATGCTGATCTTATCTGTTGTCCTGACTCTCTTGCCATCTTTTAACAGTAAAATATTTTGCTTCTTGAGAAGGGAAAACCTATTGCTCCTTCAGCTGCCTGAAAGCTTTCTCTGGCACACACTGAGGAGTTATGCACATAGAAAATTGACCAGAATCATCATCCACAACCATTCACTCCCAACCACCAAGATTGCTGTATAATGAGATGGCAAAGCTCTGAAGTATAATTATACGGTATTGAGTAAAATTCTAAATTGTAATTAGACAACATTGGGTAGAATTCTGTGAATATTCTCAGCTGTGCCATAAAAACTTTACAAAGCAAAGGAAGACATAGATCTCCAGTGCCAGCTGCTGCCTTTTGGGGAAGCCGCCTGCCATGGCCACTTCTCCAGGAAGCTTCCCAAAGGAAGAGTGCCAAGCTTGCAAGGGCCAAATGAACACTGGGCTGTTTCAAGAACCAGTATGTCTGATAGGCCTCCCAGGGTCTAGGAAAGGATTATCCAGAAGAGGTATCTTTTCATTCCACAGATGTTAGTAAACACCTACCCAAAGCTAGTGTTTTTTTCTAGGCACTGGGTCTGAGATAGATGAGAGACGTTCCCTTATGGAACGATGGAATTCTTTCTCTTTTACTATAGTCAAGTGCACTGCATCCAGCCTACTGCCTGCTGATTGATATAGAAGTGAATAAAATTAACACAAATTCCTGCCCTTGTAGAGCTGACATCTAGAATGGATGAACAAATAAACAAAATGTATATTATGTCAGATGGTGATTAGTACTAAGCAGGGATACTGATGTGATTACATCACTCTCCACAGCATGAATGGGGAAGAGAGTCCTGGGAATGAAAACCAAAAATCTAGGACTTCACGAAGTAATCAAGGTAAACGGAGATGGGGAAATGTTGAGTAATCCTGATGGTTCCCATGCTGTCAGTGGTGCAAGGCTGTGAGTTTTGAAAGGTCAAGTAGTCTTGCTGGGTGCATGCAGAGTTTTGAGACCCTCTATTTATGTCTGACAATGGAATTAAAGATGAGAAAAGAGGTAGTTTTACATGGAAAAAATGGAGTTCCACTTAAGAAGAAAGTGTTTGAGAAATGAAAATAGGAAGATATTATCAGCTAATAAATTCTATTAGTCTATTATAAATCTTTTATCAGTTTCAAAATGATACCGTGTTAACCCAAGTATCAATACATCAGTGGAACAAATTCGACAGCCCCACAATGCATTCAGAATACATGAGAATTTATAATTTACTTTTTTATTGAAGTAGAACCTACATATAACAAAGTGCCCAGATGTTAAATATGCACATATTTGTACCTGTTTACCAACACGCACATGAAGATACGGGACATTTTCAGCACCAGCAGTTTCCATCATGACTGTTCTCAGTCAATATACTGCTCCTGCAAAGATGACCGCTGTTCTGGCCTCTATCACCATTGGCTTTGCTTATTCTTGAATCTCATATATGTGGCTTTATATAGTACATACTCTTTTGTGTTAGTACTCTTCCACTAATCATCACGTCTGTAAGATTAATTCCGTTGGTGCATAAAGCAGTAGTTTGATGATTTTTCATTGTTGTGGCGCATAACTCCATATGAATATGCCACAATTTAGTAAATCTATTATTTGGGTTGTTTCTAGTTTAGAGCCGTTATATAAAGCATTGCTATGAACAGTTTTTCACATGTCCATTAGGAGATATCAGCATTCTTTTTCTTTTTCTTTTTTTTTTTTTTTTTGAGTACGTAACCAGGAGCAAAATTGTTGGGACATAGAGTATTCATGTTTTGCTCTAGTACAGAGTGCCAAAGGTTGTCCAAAGTCCTTATACAAATTTAAATTTGTGACCCTGACCCATCCCTCCTTACTGGGCGGGGCCTCCCTGTAGGAACTCCAACTCCGGCCAGGGGCTCAGGGACAGAACCCTCATCTCCCTGGGCCTCAGCCCCTAGTGGGAGGGGTCTCCCACTAGTCTTTGTGGACCAGCAGACTTAGTCTTTCCTCCTGCTAGTTCTGAGGAATTCGGGCAGCCCAAACAGGTGGGTTTCTCTCCAGTGCAGCACACCTTCTCCACCAAGGGACAGCCAAAGTGTTTCGTTAAACTGGTCTGGCTCCCCGTGCCACCCAACTGGGTGAGACCCTCCAACAGGGGTTGTCAGACACCCCACACTGAAGTGTTCCTACTGGCATCAGGTAGGTGCCCCTTGAGCTGAGAGATCCCAGAGGAAAAAGCAGGCACCCATGTTTGCTGTTCTCCAGCCTTCTTGAGTGACATCTCCAGGCATGGGAGTGAACCAGATGAATAGGGCCTGAAGTGAACCCCCCAGCAAACTGCAGCAGCCCTACAGAAGAGGGACCTGACATTGAAAGAAAAACAAACAGAAAGCAACAACAAAAGCATCAACAAAAAAGTCCTCACAAAAACCTAAGGGTCAGCAGCCTCAAAGATCAAAACCAGACAAACTCATGAAGATGAGAAATAATCAACAAAGAAACACTGAAAACCCAAAAGGCCAGAGTGCCTATTCTCTTCCAAATGATTGTGACACCTCTCCAGGAAGGGCACAGAACTGGGTGGAGGATGAGTTGGATGAAGTGACAGAAGGAGGCTTCAGATGGCAGGTAATAACAAACTCCACTGCACTAAAGAAGCATGTTCTAACTCAACATAAAGAAGTTAAAAACCTCGATAAAAGGTTACAGGAGCTGCTAACTAGAATAACCAGTTTAGAGAGGAACATAAATGGCCTGATGGAGCTGAAAAACATAGCACAAGAACTTTATGAAGCATACACAAGTATCAATAGCTGAATTGATCAAGCAAAAAAAAAAAAAAAGAATATCAGAGTTTGAAGACCATCTTGCTGAAATAAGACAGGCAGACAAGACTAGAGAAAAAAGAATGAAAAGGAACGAACAAAACCCCCGAGAAATATGGGACTATATAAAAAGACCAAACCTACAACTGATTGGAGTACCTAAAAGAGATGGGGAGAATGGAACCAAGTTGGAAAACACTCTTCAGGATATCATCCAGGAGAACTTCCTCAACCTAGCAAGACAGGCCAACATTCAAATTCAGGAAATACAGAGAACACCACAAAGATACTCCACGAGAAGAGCAACCCGAAGGCACATAATCATCAGATTCTCCAAGGTTGAAATGAAGCAAAAAAATGTTAAGGGCAGCCAGAGAGAAAGGCCATATCACCTACAAAGGGAAGCCCATCAGACTAACAGCAGATCTTTCCTCAGAAACCCTACAAGCCAGAAGACAGTGGAGCCAAAATTCAACATTCTTAAAGAAAGAATTTTCAGCCCAAAATTTCATATCCAGCCAAACTAAGCTTCATAAGTGAAGGAGTAATAAAATCCAAAGACAAACAAATGCTGAGGGAATTCATCACCACCAGGCCTGCCTTGCAAGAGCTTCTGAAGGAAGCAGTAAATATGAAAAGGATAAAATGGTACCAGCCATTGAAGAAACACACCAAAATATAAAGACCAATGACACTATGAGGAAACGGCATCAACTAGGGTGCAAAATAACCAGCTAGCATCATGATGACAGGATCAAATTCACACATAACAATATTAACCTTAAATGTAAATAGGCTAAATGCCCCAATTAAAAGACACAGATTGGCAAATTGAATAAACAGTCAAGACCCATCAATGTGCTGTATTCAGGAGACACACCTCATGTGCAAAACACACATAGGTTCAAAATAAAGGGATGGAGGAAAAATTACCAAGCAAAAGGAAAGCAAAAAAAAAATTAGGGGTTGTAATCCCAGTCTCTGACAAAACAGACTTTCAACCAACAAAGATCAAAAAAGATCACATAATGGTAAAGGGATCAATGCAACAATAAGAGCTAACTATCCTAAATATATATGCACCCAATACAGCAGCACTCAGATTCATAAAACAAGTTCTTAGAGACCTACAAAGAGACTTATACTCCCACACAATAATAGTGGGAGACTTTAATACCCCACTGTCAATATTAGACATATCAACAAGACAGAAAATTAACAAGCATATTCAGGACTTGAACTCAGTTCTGGATCAAGTGTATCTAATAGACATCTACAGAACTCTCCACCCAAAATCAACAGAATATACATTCTTCTCAGTGCTACCTTGCACTTATTCTGAAACCCACCACATAATTGGAAGTAAAACATTCCTCAGCAAATTCAATAGAGTGAAATCATAACAAGCAGTCTCTCAGACCACAATGCAAACAAATTAGAACTCAGGATTAAGAAACTCACTCAAAACCCCACAACTACATGGAAATTGAACAAGCTGCTCCTGAATGACTCCTTGGTAAATAATGAAATTAAAGCAGAAATCAGTAAGTTATTTGAAACCAATGAGAACAAAAAGACAATGTACTAGAATCTCTGGGACACAGCTAAAGCAGTATTAAGAGGGAACTTATAGCACTAAATGCCAACTTCAGAAAGCTAGAAAGATCTCAAATCGACACCCTAACATCACAATTAAAAGAACTAGAGGAGCAAGAGCAAACAAATCCAAAGGCCAGCAGAAGACAAGAAATAACTAAGATTGGAGCAGAAATGAATGAGATAGAGGAAAAAAAAAACCCTTCAAAAAATTAAGGAATCCAGGAGCTGGTTTTTGAATAAATTAACAAAATAGACCACTATATAGACTAGTAAAGAAGAAAAGAGAGAAGAATCAAACAGACACAATGAAAAATCATAAAGGGGATATCACACTGACCCTACCGAAATACAAACTACCATTAGAGAATACTATTAATACCTCTATGCAAATAAACTACAAAATCTAGGAAAAAAAAGGATAAATTCCTGGTCACATACACCCTCCCAAGACTAAACCAGGAAGAAGTCGAATCTCTGAATAGACCAATAACAAGTTCTGAAATTGAGGCACTAATTAAAGGCCTACCAACCAAAAAAAGCCCAGGACCAGATGGATTCAGTCAGATCCTACCAGAGGTACAAAGAGGAGCTGGTACCATTCCTTCTGAAATTATTCCAACCAAGTGAAAAGGAGGGACTCCTCCCTAACTCATTTTATGAGGCCAGCATCATCCTGATATCAAAACCTGGCAGAGTTACAACAAAAAAAAGAAAACTTCAGGCCAATATCCCTGAAGAACATTGATGCAAAAATCCTCAATAAAATACGGGCAAACCAAATACAGCAGCACATCAAAAAACTTATCCACCATAATCAAGTTGGCTTCATCCCTGGGATGCAAGGCTGGTTCAACATACACAAATCAATAAACATAATCCATCACATAAACACAACCAAAGACAAAAACCACATGATTATCTCAATAGATGCAGAAAAGGCCTTTGATAAAATTCAATATCCCTTCATGTTAAAAACTCTCAATAAACTAGGTATTGATGGAATATATCTCAAAATAATAAGAGCTATTTATGACAGACCCACAGCCAATATCATACTGATTGGGAAAAAAACTTGAAGTATTACCTTTGAAAATTGGCACAAGACAAGGATGCCCTCTCTCACCACTCCTATTCAACATAGTGTTGGAAGTTCTGGCCAGGACAATCAGGCAAGAGAAAGAAATAAAGGGTATTCAAAGGGGAAGAGAGGAAGTCAAATTGTCTCTGTTTGCAGATAACATGATTCCATATTTAGAAAACTCCATCATCTCAGCTCAAAAACTCCTTAAGCTGATAAGCAACTTTAGCAGTCTCAGAATACAAAATCAATGTACAAAAATCACAAGCGTTCCTATACACCAACAATAGACAAGCAGAGAGCCAAATCACGAATGAACTCCCATTCGCAATTGTTACAAAGAGAATAAAATACCTAGGAATACAGCTAACAAGGGATGTGAAGGACCTCTTCAAGGAGGACTACAAACCATTGCTCAAGGAAATAAGAGAGGACACAAACAAATGGCAAAAGATTCCACGTGCATGAATAGGAAGAATCAACATAATAAAAATGGCCATACTGCCCGAAGTAATTTGTAGATTCAATCCTATTCCCATCAAACTATCACTGACATTCTTCACTGAATTAGAAAAAACTACTTTAAATTTCATTTGGAGCCCAAAAACAGCCCATATAGCCAAGACAGTCCTAAGCAAAAAGAACAAAGCTGGAGGCATCACACTACCTGACTCCAAACTATACTACAAGGCTATAGTAACCAAAACAGCACAGTACTAGTACCAAAACAGACATATAGGCCAAGGGAACAGGACAGAGACCTCAGAAATAACACCACACATCTACAACCATCTGATATTTGACAAACCTGACAAAAGCAAGCAATAGGGAAAGGATTCCCTATGTAATGAACGGTGCTGGGAAAACTGGCTAGCCATATTCAGAAAACTGAAACTGGACCCCTTCCATATACCTTATACAAAAATTAACTCAGGATGAAGTAAAGACTTAAATGTAAAGCCCCAAACCATAAAAACCCTAGAAGAAAACCTAGGCAATACCATTCAGGATATAGGCACGGACAAAGATTTCATGACGAAAATGCCAACAGCAATTGCAACAAAAACTAAAACTGACAAATGGGATCTAATTAAACTAAAGAGCTTCTGCACAGCAAAGGAAACTATCATCAGAGTGAACAGGCAACCTACAGAATAGGAGACAATTTTTGCAATCTACCCATCTGACAAAGGGCTAATATCCAGAATCTACAAGGAGTTTAAACAAATTTACAAGAAAAACAACAACCAACCTCATCAAAAAGTGGGCAAAAGGCATGAACAGACACATCTCAAAAGAAGACATTTATGCAGACAACAAACATATGAAAAAAAAGCTCAAAAATCACTGATCATTAGAGAAATGCAAATCAAAACCACAATGAGATACCGTCTCATGCCAGTCAGAATGGCGATTATTAAAATGTCAAGAAACAATAGGTGCTGGCAAGGCTGTGGAGAAATAGGAATGCTTTTACACTGTTGTTGGGAATGTAAATTAGTTTAAACATTGTAGAAGACAGTGTGGTGGTTCCTCAAGGATTTAAAACCAGAAATACCATTTGACGTGGCAACCTCATTACTGGGTATATATGCAAAGGAATATAAATCATTTTACTATAAAGACACATGCACACGTATGTTTATTGCAGCACTGTTTACAGTAGCAAAGACATGAAACCAACCCAAATGCCATCAATGATAGACTGGATAAAGAAAATGTGGTACATATACACCATGGAATACGATGCAGCCATAAAAAGGAATGAGATGTCTTTTGCAGGGATATGGATGAAGTGGCAAGCCGTTACCCTCAGCAAACTAACACAGGAACATAAAACCAAACACCACATGTTCTCACTTGTAAGTGGGAGTTGAACAATGAGAACACATGGACACAGGGAGGGGAACAACACACACCAGGGCCTGTCAGGCACTAGGGGGCAAAGGGAGGGAGAGCATCAGGACAAACAGCTAATGCGTGTGGGGCTTAAAACCTAGATGATGGGTAGATAGGTGCAGCAAACCACCATGGCACACGTACACCTATGTAACAAACCTGCACGTTCTGCAGATGTATCCCAAAACTTAAAGTAAAATTTTTAAAAAAAGAACCAAATGGAAGTTGTAGAACTTAAAAATACCATAATAAAGGCTCATAAAATAGGCTCAGTAGTAGAGTGAAGAGGATAGAATCAATGAACCTCAAGACATATTAGAATTTATCCAATTTTGTTTGAGACCAGCCTGGGAAACATGGCAAAACCCTGTCCCTACAAGAAGTATAAAAATTAACTGGGCATGTTGACTCACACCTGTAGTCCCAACTACTAGGGAGGCTGAGTTGGGAAGATCACTTGAGCCCAGGAGATTGAGGCTGCAGTGAGCTTAGATCGTGCCACTGCACTCCTCTGGGTGACAGAGTGAAACCCTATCTCAAAGAAAAAAGAAAAAAAAAATAGAGAACTTGTCCAATCTGAACAAAAGGAATAAAATAGATAAAAATCAATAAATAGAGCCTCAGGGAGCTGTGAAACAATAACAAATGAGCTAATATTTATATCTTCAGAATTATAGGAAAAGAGAAGAAAAAGAGAGAGAGACTAAAAAAAAATTCGTGGAAATAATGGCTGAACATTCCCCAAATTTGGCAAACAAAACAAACAACAAACAACATAAACCTATAGATTCAAGATGCTGAGTGAACCCCAGAGAGAATAAATGGAGCAAAATACATGCTGGGACACAGCATAATCAAACTTCTAAAAAATAAAGTCAAAGAAACAAGTCTTGAAAGCAACTGGAGGGAAATAACACATTACTAATAAGAGAATTTCAATTCAAATGACTGCAGCTTTCCCTTATAAAACCATGGAGGCCAGAAGTAAGTAACACATTTTCCAAGTACTAAAAGGTAAGAACTGTCAAAGGAAGGAAATTTTAACCTGATGAAAATACTATTCAGAAATGAAGGGCTAATAAAACATTTTCAGATGAAAATAAACTAAGAGAATATGTTACCAGCAAGCCTTCCCTTAAAGAATTGCTCAAGGAAAGGAATTGCTAACAGAAAATTATTTCAAAGGAAAAGAAGAGTGTTGGAATGACTAAAAATGGGGCAAATATAATAGTCTTTTTCATAGGTTCCTTGAATTACTTGATAATTAAAGTAAAAATTATAATGTCATTTGATACAGTGCTCAGTGTACATATAGAAAACACTTAAGGCAATTATACCTAAAAAGTTGGAGGGTAAAGGAAACTAAATGGAAGTAATCTTTCTACATTTAAGTGCAAGTAGACAGTGATAAGTTTTATATGTATATGTAGTGTGTATATACATACACATACTATATGGAATGTTGGAATATATATATAGTATGTATATATACACATATATGTGTGTATATATACATATAAATATATACACACTATGTATATATATGTACACACTATATATTCCAACATATTTATAAATACATATGGTATTTGTATATTTATTATATATATACTTATAGTATTTATATATACATTATATATATACATACACATACATTTGGTATTTGCTTTGTATAGTTTTCTTAGTAGTTTCTGTAGGTATTACATTACATGACATAGTGTGTGTGTATATATAGAGTATATGTAGTGTTATATATACACTAATGTTATATATATCATGTATGTGTGTAAATATACATATATGTGTATATACATGGTGTATATACACATATATGTATAGTGTAATACCTATAGCAACTACTAAGGAAACTATACAAAGCAAATACTAAAAAATACTATATATAAATCAGGATGGAATCCTAAAAATTGCCCAAGTACCCCACAGGAAGGTAAAAAAAAAAAAAAAAAATAAAGAGGAGGAAGAAACAGGACCAACAGAAGAGGAGGAAGAAACAGGACCAACAGAAAAGAAAAACAAATAATAAAATGGGAGACCTAAGCCCTAACAACTAAATAATTATATCAAATTTAAGTGGTGGTTTAAATACCTTGATTAAAACATATTGCCAAAGTGGATAAAAAGATACAACAATATGCTGTCTATGAAATTCACTTCAAATACAAAGACATAGATAGGTTGTAAGTAAACAATTGAAAACAGATATATCAGGCAAACAGTAATACAAAAAGCAGAAGTCACTATATTAATGTCAAATGAGGTAGACTTCAAACAAAAGAAAATTATAAGACACAAAGAGGAGCATTACATAATGATAAAAGGATCAATCCACCAGGTGAACATCATAATCCTAGTGTGCATGTGCCAAACAACAGAGCCTCAAAATACATAAGCAAAAACTTATACATTTTAAAGGAGAAATAGACAAATCCAAAATTATAGCTGAGAATTTTCTATCTTACTCTCAGGAAATGATAGAACCACCAGATAGAAAATCAGCAAGAATATAGAACTGCACAACACAACTAACCAATAAGATCTAATTGGCATATAGAGAACACTTCAGACAAAAGTAGCAGAATATTTTTGTTTTCAAGTAGTCCAGAACATTCACCAGGGTAGCCCAAGTTCTCAACCATAAAACAAACATCAAAAATTTTTAAAATCTTGAATTTATATAAGGTATGTTCTTTGTCATGGAATCAAGCTAGAAATCAATGGTAGAAATACATTAGAAAAATCTCCAAATAATTGGAAATTAAACAACACACTTCTAAGTAATCCATGGGCTAAACAGGAAATCTCAAGGGAAATTTTTAAAAATACATACAATTGAATAAAAATTAAAAAACATGTCTCAGAATATGTAGGATCCAGTTAAAGCAGTGCTGAGAAGAAAATTTATAGCAGTAAATGTTTCCATTAGAAAAAAAGTTCTCAAATCAATAAAGTTTCTATCTTAAGAAACTAGAAAAAGAGGAGCAATGTAAGCACAGACCAGACAAAAGGAAAAACATAATAAGGATAATGAACAGAAACTAATGAAATCCAAAACAGGAAAAAAGTAGGTAACATCAATGATCAGAAAATTAATTTCTCTATGCCTTATTTGTTGAGAGTTTTTATTATGAAAACACATTGAATTTTGTCAACTACTTTTCCTTGATCTATTGAGATGGTCATGTTATTTTTATCTTCATTCTACTAATGCAGTGTATCAGATTCATTGATTTGTGTAGGTTGAGCCATCGTTGCTTCCCAGAAATAAATCTCATTTGATCATGGTGTATAACGCTTTTAATGTGTGGTTGAGAATTCAGTTTGCTAGTATTTTGTTGAGGATTTTTATGTCTGTTTATCAGGGATAGTGGCCTGTAATTTTTTTTCTTGTTGTGTCCCTATATGGCATTAGAATTAAGGTAACTCTAGCCTCATAAAATGAGTTTGAAAGTGGTACCTTCTCTTCAATCTTTTGGAAGAGTTTGAGAAGGATTGTTATTAGTTCATTTTTAATGTTTGATAGAATTCTGTCATGAAGCCATCTGATCCTGGGCTCTTCTTTGATGGGAGATTTTTGATTATTGATTCAATCTCCTTACTCTCATTATTGGTCTGTTCATGTTCTATTTATTAATGATTCAGTTTTGATAGGTTGTATGTTTCTAGGAATTTGTCCATTTCTTCCAGGTTATCCAACTTGCTGGCATTTAATTGTTCATGGCAGTCTCTTACAGTGTTTTACATTTCTATAATATCAGTTGTAATGTGTCCTCTTTTATTTCTAATTTTATTTGTGTTTTTTCTCTTTTTTTAGTTACTCTAGCTAAGAGTTTGTCAATTTTACTTATCTTTTCAAAAAACAAACTCTAAGTTTTGTTGATTTTTTTCCATCGCTTTTCTAGTCTCTAATTTATTTCTGTTCTGATTTTGCTACTTTTTTCTTCTACTAATTTTGGATTTATCTTGGGTTTGTTTTCCAGTTTATTAAGGTGTAAATTTAGATTGCTTACTTGAAATCTTTCTCTTTTCTTTATATAGGTACTTATTGCTGTAAACTTCCATCTGAGAACTGCTTTTGCTGCATCCCATAAATTTTATGTTCTCATTTTTGTTTTAAGATATTTCTAAATTTCTCTTTCAAGTCTATATATAACAATTCCACAGCTAACAAAGTGTTCAACAGTGAAAAGCTGAAAACTTTCCCTCTAAGATCAGGAAAAAAACAAGGATGCCCACATTTGTCACATCTGTTCAACACAGTACTAAAATTTCTAGCCAAAGTAACTAGACAAGAAAAAGAAATGAAAGTCATTCAAATCTGAAAAGAAGAAGTAAAATTGTCTCCACTGGCAGGTAACATGATCTAAAGACTCCACAAAAAAAAGTTATTAGAACTAAGAAATGAATGAAGCAAATTTTCAGAATACAAAATCAACACACAAAAATCAGTAGTGTTTCTATATGCTAACAATGAACTATCCAAAAAAGAAATCAAGAAAACAACCCCATTTACAATCACATTTTTAAAACATTTATGAATAAATTTAACCAACATGTAAGATCTATACCCTGAAAACTATAAAACATTAATGAGAGAAATTGAAGAAGACACAAGTAAATGGAAAGACATCTGATGTTCATGAATTACAAGAATTAATACTATTAAAATGCCTAAAGCATCCCACAGCTATCTACAGACTCAATGCAGTTTCTACCAAATTCCAAGGGCACATTTCACAGAAACAGAAAAAACACTAAAATTTGTATGGATCCACAAAAGACCTCAAATAGCTAAAGTAATCTTGAGTAAGAAGAATAAAGCTGGAAATATCATAGTTCCTGACTTCAAATTATATTAAAAAGCTAATAGTAATCAAAATAGTATGATGCTGACATAAAAATAGAAACACAGACTACTGAAACAGAATAGAATATCCAGAAATAAATCCACACATATATGGTGAACTAATCTTCAACCAAGGCATCAAGAATACACAATAGGGGAAAAAATAGTGTCTTCAATGAATGGTGTTGAGAAAACTGAATACCCACATGTAAAACAAATAAAATTGGATCCTTAATTTACACTATACATAAAAATCACCTCAAAATAAATACTTGAACATAAAATCTGAAGCCATAAAACTCCCAGAAAAAAACATGACAAAGGGAAAGGTCCATGACCTTGGTCTTGGCCATGATTTTTTCTTTTTGGATATCACCTCAAAATCACAGGAAACAAAAGCCAAAAATGGACAAGTGGGATTATATTGAACTAAAAATTTTCTGCACAGCAAACGACACAATTAACAAAATGAAAAGGCAAAAATGCCTACAGAATAGGCAAAAATGTTCGCAAACCATATATGAAATAAGTGGTTATATCAAAAATATATAAAAAACTCAGACAACTCCTTAGCACAAAAATAACCTGATCAAAAACTGGACAAAGGACTTCAACAGACATTTTTCCAAAGAAGACATACAAATGACCAATGAGTATATGAAAAAATGCTCAACATTACTAACGCCAAAGAAATGAAAAAGAAAACCACAATGAGGTATCACCTCACACCTGTTAAGGTGGTTACTATCAAAAAGAAAAAAGACAAATATTGGTGAGGATGTGGAGAAAATGGAAACCTTATACACTATTGGTAGCAACTATAAATTAGTATAACCATTACGGGAAACAGTATGGAGGTTCCATAAAAGTAGAATTACTATATGATCCAGCAATACCACTCCTGGATATATATCCAAAGGAGAGAAAATCACTATTTCAAAGAGATACGTGCATTTCATATTCATTGTAGCATTAACCCAGACAGCCAGGATGAACAATCTAAGTGTCCATTGACAGATGAGTTAATAAAGATGTTGCATACACACACACACACACACACACACACACACGGGGGGACGGGGGAGGGGGAGGAAAATATTACTCAGTCTTTAAAAAGAAGAAAATCCTGTCATTTTTGACAACATGGATGCATCTGGAGGGCATTATACTAAATGAAATAGGCCTGACAGAGACAAATTCTACATGATCCCTCTTACCTGTGGGATCTAAAAAAGCTGAACTCCTAGAAACAGAAAGTAAAAGGGTGGTTACTAGTGGCCCAGAGTTAGAGGAAATGGGGAAGTCAAAGAGTACAAGTTTAAATTATAAGATACGTAAGTTTTGGAGACTTAATAAAAAACATGGTGACCACAGTTAATAGTAATGTATTTGTTTATTTGAAATTTGCTAAGTGAATAGATCTTAAGTATTATCATAATGACAGCAACCAAGAGGTAACTATGCGAGGTGACGGAAATGTTAATTAGCTTACTTGTTAATCATTTCATATGTATGTGTATGTCAAAACATCACATTCTACATCTTAAATATATATTTTTTATTTGTTAATTATCTCAATAAAACTTAAAAAATTAAAAAGCTGATTATTTTTAAAAAGATTGACAAAAAGGAAAATAAACACAAATCACAAAATGGCTAAGATAAAAATAGTAACAATGCAAATGCTGACAAAATACAAAAAAAACTGGATTATTCATACATTGCTGGTAGGAATGAAAAAATCATCCAGCCACTCTGGCAAAAAGTTTGACAGTTTCTTATAAAACAGCGAAATGATCATACAACCTAGCAATTGCACTCTTGGGCATTTATGACAGACAAATTTATGTTGATATAAAAACCCATGTACAAAAGTTCATAGCAGCTTTATTTTAATAGCCCCAAATTGAAAACAAACTTTATGTTTTTCAGTGGGTAAATGGTTAAACAATCTATGGTATATCCAATACTGTGAAATACTACTTAGTAATAAAAAGGAATGAATTATTGATACATGCAACTACCTGGATGAATATTTAGGAAATTAGGCTGAGTGGAAAAAATAAATTACTTACTGTATGATTCCACTGATGACACTTTTGAAATGGCAGTATTTTGGAAATGATAACAGATTTGTAATTGCTAGGTGTTAGTAACAGGGTGTGGGGTAGGGGAGAGAGGTGTCCTTATAAGAAGGCAACACAAAGGATCTTTGTGGTGATGGAAATGTTCTGTATCTTGACTGTGGTGGCAAATATAGAAATCTACACTTGCGATAAAATTGTATGGAACTAAAAACATACCCACAGACACATGCAGATGAATACATATACAACTGAAGAGATATGAATAAAATTGGTGGGTTGTATTAATGTCAATATTCTGGTTGTGATACTGTACTATAATTATGCAAGATGTTAGAATTGGGAGAAAGTGGATTAAATATACTCAATCTGTCTGTATTATTTCTTACAACGGCATGTAAGTATTATTATCTCAAAATAAGAAAGTTTTTTAAAGTAATGCAACCGAAAAAAAATAGAATTGGAGGAATGAAATTGAAAATGAAGAAACAGGAGTCTGCTTGAATGCTACTTCTAGCATAGGATCAGCTTTTGACACACTTAGCCATAGTTAGGCTTCAACATCTTAGAGCACACATTCTTTTTCTGGAATATGCCTTGCTTCCCCGCACATTAGCCTAAGAATGCTGGCAGTTTCAAAGAAGACCAAAGAGTAGACAGATGGTGCTATGGAAAAAAATTCATAGACCTAAATATGAAAAACCTGGCAGAGAAAGAATGTCACCAACCAAAATCAGAATTATGTTTTAGTGAAATTGAAGATTTATTTTGCCTAGCACACTTGAAGGCTTACCTAGGAATTATGGAACTATACTATGAAAAGTAAACAGTTTAAAGAAGATTTAAAAAAATAGCTACATTTGGCAAAAAAAAAAAAAGCACAAAGAAGTGCTGACCTAGTACATAATTCAGTAAATCTTTAAACTCAATGCCTGTGAAGAATCAAAAAAATGCAAACTTATAAATGAAATTAAAATTTTTTTAAGTTCATGTAGTTCTAAAACAGGTAGAACAGATAATTATGTATTTTAGACTAATGGAAAACAGCATTCTACATATTTTTAAATGTCAGACATAACATTAAAAACAGACAATAGAAACCTTAGTATATCAAAGTATCCAGAATTTGAAATTTTTTTTATGTTGGTATAGTTTTAACTTTGTAAATTGCTTTTAATAATTAGTTACCACATTTTTTAAATTAATTCTGAGTGAATGTGAATTTGTAAAGATAGGAAAAGAAAAGGTCAAAAATAGAAAATATATGACAAATGACTTATTCACTTTTCTTGTATGTATATGTTTTTGAAACTAGTAAGCATAAAGAAAAAAATCTCAAATTATTAATCTATGAGTCAATTCCAAGGAAACTTCACAACTTTTCTTGTACCTTAAACACCTTCTTCACCAAAAATGTATAAACACTATTTGGACAAGTGTCCTAATTTACCTTCAAAAGGCACCTTTTTGAAATAGCATAACAATTTTGTTGAGTTATTACACTTATGATTCATAACTATTCATTTCCTGTAAGAATTATATATCAGCATTTATTAAAAAGTGTGAAAAGACCCTAAGAGAAATGAGGAAACACTTTACACTGACAACTCTGACACCTTTTCAAAATTCTAAAGAAAGCTGTGAATAAACTATCCACTTGGAAATCATGCTTATTCAATTCTGCCTGCAGGTAAATGTTGGAAACATTTGTGAACAGAAGCATGAAACCTCATTAAAGTAAGGTATAAAAATAACTTGAATAAATACATAAACAACTTGAGCCTGTAATACAGGGCAATAGAAAAACACCAAAAAATGTCCAAATTGTCCATTTATGATGAAAATACACAAGCACAAACTAGAGATGTCTTTAAACATTTTTCCCTAAATTTTAGATAAGCAGCCATCTAACTGATATGTACATACAAAATTTAAATGTTTTCAATCCTGCAGATTAGAATGCACCTGCTCTCTATCCCAAACGCCAGTCCAAGTGAATGACCACTGTCCACCCACACTAAGGACCTGGACTCACCCTCAGCCCCACCTTTCTTCCACCTCATTATTCTTCTCTCTCAAACTACCTCCACCCCCATTCTCAACAACTCTTACCTGGACACTTGAACTTGTAATCTTAGTGATCATCCAGTTTCTTGTCCAGCACCAGTCTAGTGCTTGACTAGATTATCTGGATCTAATGTGGGAGTAATTCTCTGGATCACTTTCAGAGTGACTTGATTGACACCACACACCTAAACATATTACTTCACTGGTTACATAAAACCCTTTAGTATGGCTTTGCACAATCTGGTCATTGCTCATCTCACCACCCTCATTTCTCACCATCCCTACCTCATCACCATTTACATTCTGTTCTCACCAACCTACATGCTGTCTTCTAAACAGCCTACAGTTTATACTCCTGTGTTTCTATCATACTATTTTTTCTGCCCAAATTATCCTTCTCTTCATATCATCTTTCTTCAATCTCAAAGTAGGCCTTACATTCTCAAAGCAGTTAGAATGGCAATCATTAAAAAGTCAGGAAACAACAGATGCTGGAGAGGATGTGGAGAAATAAGAACACTTTTACACTGTTGGTAGGAGTGTAAATTAGTTCAACCATTGTGGAAGACAGTGTGGTGATTCCTCAAGGATCCAGAACCAGAAATACCATTTGACCCAGCAATCCTATTACTGGGTATATACCCAAAGGATTATAAATCATTCTACTATAAAGACACATGCACACATATGCTTACTGCAGCACTATTCACAATAGCAGAGAGTTGGAACCAACCCAAATGCCCATCAATGATAGACTGGATAAAGAAAACGTGGCACATATACACCATGGAATACTATGCAGCCATAAAAAAGGATGAATTCACATCCTTTGCAGGGACATGGATGAAGCTGGAAACCATCATTCTCAACAAACTAACACAAGAACAGAAAACCAAACACTGCATGTTCTCACTCATAAGTGGGAGTTGAACAATAAGAACATATCTACATAGGGAGGGGAATATCACACACTGGTCCCTGTCAGGGTGCTGGGGGCTGGGGGAGGGATAGCATTAGGAGAAATACCTAATGTAGATGACAGGTTCATGGGTGCAGCAAACCACCATGGCACATGTATACTTATGTAACAAACCTGCACGTTCTGCACATGTACCCCAGAACTTAAAGTATAATAAAAAATAAAAATAAAAAAAAAAGAGAGCGCAGGGAGTTGGTCTTTGTTGACTGCCTTGTCCCAATTTCCTAAAACTGCCTGGTTCACAGTAAGTGCATGGAAAGTTTTCAAAGTTAAGCTTAAAATGGCTACATATCAGTTCCATTTATATTTCTTTATCTAGAATTTCACCATATAGCTACACCTAACCTCAAAGCAGACTGGAAAAATGTAGTGAACTGTGTACCCAAAGAGAAGAAAAAAATGGACTTGGGTGAGCAGTCAGCAGTTTCTGCCACAACACTCTCATGTAAATATAGTAGCAGTAGAAAAAAAATACAAATGTGCAAAAACCAACTAAAACATGCTATTTTTTTCCTGAAACAAAAAGCTACTTGAAGCTAAATTTAAGTCAATTAGAAAATAAACACAAAAAATGAACAGTGAACATTTCATTAGAGAGCCGTTAGGTATTTATATGTTTCAGAAGTGATTGTATCAATCTTTTAAATATGTAATATATAATTATTATACTCCTTAAACTATTTCACATTATTTTTAGGATGTAACATTGTATAATTATAATATTAATCCCAAAAGATAGCACAAAAAAAACTATGAGCCAATGTTACTCATGAAATATTAATGCAATAATCCTAAATAAAGCATCAGTAAATAGAATACACAGCACATTCAAAGAATGAATAGCCAACATCTGTAAGTGGAGTTCTCTTGATATAACTCACCATAGTAATAAATAAAAAGAGAAAAATCATATTATCATCTCTGATGGAAACTAAGAAGGCATTTGATCCAATCTCAACTTCATTATTGATAGAAAAGGAAACCTCTTAATACAAAGATACTTCCTTGCTGGGTTAATCCCTACATGTGATAAATTTTAAAACTGTATGATTATATAACTGGAAAACTTTAAAAACTCTAAAACAATAGCATAATTCAGCTCACTTGGTGCAAAATTAATATACAAAAATTAATGGGCTGGGTGCGGTGGCTCACTCCTATAATCCCAGCACTTTGGGAGGATGAGGCGGGCAGATCACAAGGTCAGGAGTTTGAGACCAGCCTGACCAACATGGTGAAACCTCATCTCTACTAAAAATAGAAAAATTAGCCAGGCGTGGTGGTGGGCACCTGTAGTCCCAGCGACTTGGGAGGCTGAGGCAGAAGAATCGCTGGAACCTGAGAGGCGGAGGTTGCAGTGAGCTGAGATCATACTACCGCACTCTAGCCTGGGTGACAGAGTGAGACTCTGTCTCCAAAAATAAAAATAAATAAATAAAAATAAAATGATCATCTTGTATACAAAAAAAATCAGTTAGAAAAGACCCTGTTTAAATAGCAGCTAAAAGTACTAAAATGTAGAAATAAACTTAACAAGAAATGTTCAAGATTATACTATGTTAAATTGTTAAATTCTGTGAAGGTACAAAAAAGATGTGAAAAAATGTAACAGCATAGTTTGCTCTTATCCTGGAAGACTCAATATCAAAATGAAACCAATTCACCGTAAAGAAATTATAGATCTCATTAAATTCCAATAAAATTTCAGTAGATATTTTTAATAACTACACAAGATTATTTCTAAGATTCAAGTGAAAAATAAACATGTAGGAATAAAACAGAAAATTCTAGAAAATGAGAAATAAATGGTGATTAGCTCTGTCTGATATTAAAGCACATTAAATTACAATAATTAGAGAAGTATAGTGTTAATGCAAAAGAGACAGATAATAAAACAGGATGGTAGGTCCGAAGGTAGACACAAATACATACTGGATTTAGTAAAGCCATATCTTGTGATATAGCCATTCAAATGGCAAAAGTTCAACTTATGAAGAATTTCATGTAATACCCCTGCTTTGGCTTATAAGACTTTATCTGTATGTAAGAAGGTCAATTAGGATTCTTTCTGAGTGCTATGAAGTTATAGCCGGCACACAGACCTCTTTGGAGTTGTGTGGTTGGTTCTTGCTCTGTTAAGTTTTCCTCTGAAAATACTCTAGTACATAGTAGTGATAAGCTCTTTAATTTAATTTCATTAATTTATTTGCCTTAGAATTTAATTTCATAAACATTGAGAATCATATGAATGCTTTGATTGTATTTTCTCAAGAGCACAATATGTAATTGTTATGAAAGAGATGACTGAGATATATAGCCATATTTTAGAGAAATTCACTAATGACACCTATTTTTATGTCATGTTATGATTACCAAATATTAATTATTAAAGTTGCTGTATAAATTGAGATTGTATTAGCATAAGATGGTTTTGAGACACAGGAAACTGCATGAATTTTTTTTACCATTGAAATAACTGTAAAAATATTTAACTTAGAACCAATTGACTCCTAACAAAGGAAAAGAACTCTACCATTACAAAGGGAGCATTGTGCATGGGAGAAGGGCAGAAATGGCTTATTCAACAAATGAACAAATGGGTCGCTATCTAAAGATATTTAAAATTATATTCCCATGTCATTCCTTATACCAAAATAAATTCCAATGAATCAATGATTTAAATATAAAAATTACACCTTAGTTTCAGAAAACATGAGAAAAATTTTCACAATAATCTCAGAGAACATATGTATGTCTGTCCTCTTCACAGCTGTAACCTCAGCAATCCAGCCTCTTAACAAATGTTTGTTAAATTCAAATTAACAAAATTGAATATCACACCTAAAAGGAGTAAGAACCACGGTCTATAAGGAGTTCATGAAAAGTACAGATAAGAATCTTCTGCCAAAGGGTCTTTGGGAAAACATGGCATTGCATCTAGGAGTAACTGCTTAAATAAATTTGGAACAAAGACACACTCAGCCCTCCATATGAGAGAAGTCAAGGTTTTCCTGACAGTGGAATGAGCCCTCAGTCAAAATCCACACGATAGTGCCTGCCCTCTCCTGTAGCAGAGAGGTCCTTGATCCAGCACATCTGCCACCCTCAGCACCAACCCGGCTGCGTTGTAGCCAATGAACTTTGTATCCTGGCTCCGTGGCAGGCCTCCAGAAGGGTTGCTTTTGGTGCCAGCAGATGTAGAGTATGTCATGCAGACAAGCTTGCCCATGACTGCAAGGGAGAGCAGGCAGACACTTTAAGGATGAACTGGTACAGAACTTCAAGTGGTGTGGTAAAGCTGTGAACTGCTGAGAAACAGCAGCAACAGTCAGACCAGCTCAGCTGGAAGCTATTAGAATTGGGGCAGTTAGTTTCGTGTAAAGGAATCTGTCCAGTTGAGGCTGAGGCAGCTTTACCGACAGTGGAAGGCTTTGTAAGAGGCGCTATACCCAATAATCAAAGATAAGCCCTGTGTGGTTTCAAGACGGGGGGCTCACAGGTCCCAAATTGATCTTTTCCAACGCCCCTGAGCACATGATCATCATCCATCAGTGCTAGCAACCTGAAAATAAAAAACTATACAAACAGCATCTGTAGCAGATTTCAGATTCACAGCAAAGACCTTATGTTTGGTCTAAAAGTTGAAGTTTCTCCAAGAGGAAACTCTGCTGGAAATTTCCCCACAACACCAACCACCCCATATCAATGTTCACCCTTTCTAACATTGGCACCATAGACCAATCAACTTGCAAGTATTTAGTAAGGGTCCACCATGAGGCCAACACAGTGCTAGTCCCTGACTGGGATGTTAAGATTTTTTAAATCTTATACTTTGGCCATCTAGGAGCTTAAAATATCTCCTCATAAAAATAAATTTAAGTCACATTAAATATGAGAACAATAAAACACAGGAGTGTAGTAATGATGACAATTCTAGTGAAAAGAAGTAAAAAAAAGGAAAAATACGGATAGGGAAGTAGAAGGTGCTCTGGGCCTTGGAGGGAGTGGGTAGGATGGATAGGCAGAGGGGGAAGGAAGAACACTGTGGGTGGGAGGAACAGAATGAGTGGGGGCTCAAAAGTGGAGGAGAACTGGCATGAGACGAAGGTCACAGCATCTGGTGAAAATTCATGAATCTGTGTCTACAGGGAAGATATTTGGTGCTTTTTTTTTTTTTTTAAAGACAGAGTCTCACTCCATCACCCAGGCTGGAGTGCAGGGGTGCCATCTCGGCTCACTGCAACCCCTGCCTCCTGGGTTCAAGTGAGTCTCGTGCCTCAGCCTCTCAAGTAGCTGGGATTACAGGCGTGCACCACCACACCTGGGTAATTTTTGTATTTTTGGTAGAGAAGGGGTTTCATACGTTGGTCAGGCTGGTCTCCAACTCCCAATCTTATGTGATCTGCCCGCCTGGGCCTCCCAAAGGGCTGAGATTACAGGTGTGAGCCACCGTGTCTCATCAGGTGTTAATGATTTTGTCTCAGGTTTTCATTAAGCTGTCATTCTATTACACCAGGATAACCCCCATCCATCCCATCTTCTTTGAAATAGCTTCTTGAAAATAACAATCTGGACTATTACTTAGGATCAAATTTTATAGCTTTAAGGGATCATAGCACTTATATAGGTGCTCATCCCATCTCGTAGTCAGGAAGATTACCCTACAAGGGCATAGCTAGTGAGAGCTACAGGTCTCCAAGTAACATCATTCATGGACCTTTTTCTCTAAGCCAGATTTCTTCACACTTCAAGCCTGGAAGGTTTTCCCTGTAACCTGTTTCACTAAAGACCATACTTCTTAAGAGCTGAGACATCCATCAACTTTATCTATCACAGAGTAATTATTAAGCACCAATTATGTTCAAAAAATTTGGCTAATGTGATAAATAATACAAAAATACAAAAAAGTAACAACTGTATTCTTACTTATACCCATAGTGCTAAAATCCAAATGAGTGGCCTTTTTAATAGTATATTAAGTGACTTCTAAATATTATATATTATGGTAAATTCTGGGGACCCAAGAAAGGATGTGGGGAAGGAGGTAAAAAAGCATAGAGGGAGTCTACTGTAACAAAGTATGTGAAGTGAAATGACATCAGTGAGCTATGGGTACTAAGTAACACTGAGCAGAGATAATACAGCTTATGTTTGGGAACAGAGATGGCCAGGTGTCAGGGTAGTCTTCATGAGGAAGTTAATATCTGAATCTGACCTTAAAGAATAAATAGAGGTTACACAAGTAAAGGAAAGGGGGTAAGGGAATAGCAAAATCAAAGGCATAGAAAACCAAAGCAACATGGTACATTCAGAGAGCTGAAGCTATTCAGTATTGGCGAAACAGGGTGCTACCATCTAGGAGCGTTAAAAGGAGAAACTGTTAAGAAATCCATAGGCCAGGCCAGGCGCAGTGGCTCACGCCTGTAATCCCAGCACTTTGGGAGGCCGAGGCAGGTGGATCACGAGGTCAGGAGATCGAGACCATCCTGGCCAACACAGTGAAACCCCGTCTCTACTAAAAATACAAAAAAAAGAAAAAAAAAATTAGCCAGGCATGGTGGCAGACGCCTGTAGTCCCAGCTACTCGGGAGGCTGAGGCAGGAGAATGGCGTGAACCCAGGAGGAGAAGCTTGCAGTGAGCTGAGATTGCACCAGTGCACTCCAGCCTGGGCGACAGAGCGAGACTCTGTCTCAAAAAAAAAAAAAAAAAAAAAAAAAAAAAAAAAAAAAATCCATAGGCCAGGCCATCCAGGGCCTTTACATCAGGTCACAGAACTTGGTCTTCACTGTGAAAGCTACAGGGGCCCATGGAAGAGTTTAAAGTAGGGCAGTGACGTGATCAAGTAGATCGCTCTAATAATTGAGGGAAAGAACACTGGAAGCAAGAAGACCACACAGACAAGGGATATGGTGGAGTGACACAAGGGATTTGTTTTAAAGGACCAATTTAAAGGGCATTTTGGAGAAAAATTTAACAGGATTTAGCGTATGAATAAATGGAAATGGGCTGGGTGCAGTGGCTCACGCCTGTAATTCCAGCACTTGGGGAGGCCGAGGCAGGCAGATCACTTAAGGTCAGGAGTTAGAGACCAGCCTGGCCAACATGGTGAAACCCTGTCTACTAAATACAAAAATTAGCCCAGTGTGATGGCACACACCTGTAATTCCAACTACTCAGATAGCTGAGGCACGAGAATCACTTGAACCTGGGAAGCAGAGGTTGTAGTGAGCTAAGACTGTGCCACTGTACTCCAGCCTGGGCGAAAGAGTGAGACTCTGTCTCTAAATAAATAAATAAATGGAAATAACTGAAAGAGAAGTATAATCATTAACAACTCTTGGGTTTCTAACTTGTATGACTTGCTACCACTAAGACAGGGTATCCTAGAGAAGAAAGATGAGTTCATTTGGAGGCATAATGAGTTTGAGACACCTTTCGAACATTTGTTTGCGGGTGCCTAGCCCATAGATAAATAAATTTGAAGCTTAGAGGAGAAATGTCCAGGAGATAAAACCTTGGAAGTTTCCACCCTATGAGTAGTCATTAAAGTCTTGAGAGTAAATGAGAAAAAAATGTAGAATTACAAAACAAGTAAGCTAGGAAGGAAGCTCTAAAAAGCAGGAATATTAAGGTATTAGTGGAAGACATGGAACCAGAGAAATGAAAAGGAATGGTCAGAGAGAATTTACAGGCAACACAGAAGAGTACAGGAGGGCAATATATAACACTCTATAACAGTGAGGTCAAATATGATAAATCTGGAGGTGTCCACTGAATCTGCAAGTAGTAATTTCTTGATGACTATAACAAGTTTGATTTTTTTTTAATGGAGAGAATGGAAGGCAGTTTGCAGTGAGTTACAGTAATTGGGAGGTGAGAAATAAAGACTGACTCATCAACGTTTAGGTAAAAAGAGATGTTAGATGGTATCTTGAAGGGATAGTGTCAAAGAAAGATTTTTTTAAGATGATCATGTTTATGGGCTAAGGAGGAGGATTTAGGAAAAAAAGAGGCTGAATATAAAGGAGAGAACAGGGGATTTTCAACAGAGTAAGTTCCCAGAAATAGTGAGAAGAGAGATAATCAAAGCTACAGATAGCATTGTCAGGCCTGCCCACATGTTATACTTAGAACATTTTCTTGAGTCTGAAAAGATAATAAAGATAGATCTGGGCTGGGTGCGGTGGCTCACACCTGTAATCCCAGCACTTTGGGAGGCTGAGGCGGGTGGATCATGAGGTCAGGAGATCGAGACCATCCTGGCTAACACGGTGAAACCCCGTCTCTACTAAAAATACAAAAATACAAAAAAAAAAAATTTGCCAGGCATGGTGGTGGGCACCTGTAGTCCCAGCTACTCAGGAGGCTGAGGCAGGAGAATGGCATGAACCCGGGAGGCAAAGCTTGCAGTGAGCCAAGATTGCGCCACTGCACTCCAGCCTGGGCGACAGAGTGAGACTCTGTCTAAAAAAAAAAAAAAATAGATCTGGATATAGGTACATTTTTATATATGGGGAAGTAGGAAGAAAGTTTAGAGATGAAATATATAATGATTTCAATTTCTTGTCAAAGTAGGAAGCAAGTTCATTTAATAGAAGGCAAAAGAGAACAACATGATCATGGTGATGGTGTAGTTTTTCAGTGTCCCAAAACACCACCAACAAACCAAATAGATCAACCTTGATAGCAAAGGGAGAAAATATCTAGAGGGTATTATCAAGAAAACCTCATGACAGAAAACCCTCACAGGCCCAGGAGCCAGTTGAGTGCTACCGAACTACCAACAACAATAGCCTGCTTGGGATTTTCAGCAGTGTGGCCAGGAAGGCATGGAAGAAAAGGAGATTACCAACTGACTCTCCAAATTGGGGAAATTTAAAAATTGCCCCAAAAATTGACCTGCAAAGGAAAGCACCCTACTCTGGGAGAAACCTTAGCACATAGATCTAGGAACGTGACAAAAATAACATCCCTAGAGGCTCTATGGTTGCAAATGAGCATAAAGTTTGCCCCCAGACACAGGAAAAACAAGATGTGTGTGGTTCTCTAACCTCAGAATGATTCAGCAAATATTTCCAGATAAACTGATTCTACCCTGAAGAAAAGCCACTGGGAACAGGAACCAAACTGAGGACAGCAGAAAGACTGAGAATAAGAGAGAAGGTTTATACAGGAGGCCCAGAGGACCCAAACCCAGAAAGTACTTTAACAGCCAAGTGCAGCTTCCAAAGGTGAGCACACCCCAGAGAATGCAAGGTGAACAGAGCACAAAGGCTGGAGCTAGAACATTTTTCTCAAACAAACTCAGCTCAGAGAGAGGCCATATTTTGTGTTTTTCATGGTAACCACATACGAGGGAATGCTTAAACTGTAAGCCCAGAAAAAAAAATTGACATAGCTCACTTCTTCCAAACGTATTTCCTTCTAATATAATACTCTAAGAACACTAAAGTTATTTAAACAAGTATAATAACAGCAACGAAATAATAACCCATACTGAATTATTGCATGGAAAAAAGAAGTTGAAAAGGAGCCTTGTAACACTTTGACAAATAATTAAATACATCTTAAAATGTGACCACGAAGCAGACAACTTTATCCAAATGTTTCAAAATGAGGTAACCACAATTTTGAGAAGTACTGAAGCTTGGAAACAACGGCACAAATCAAAAAATTGGAAAAGCTCAGGTATCACATGACTAGACAAGAGGAATACATCAAGCAGGAATTGACATTTCAGAAAAGAATTAGAAAAAAAAAATTCAGAACCTAAGATTAAATTAAAGGAATACAAGAGTGAATAAACATCAAAGAAAGTATGTTTAGAGAAATAGAGAACAAAAGAAAATAAATTAATAATAACAACAATAATAAATAAGTCACAAAATATCAAAGATTTTTTAAATGGCTCAAGAAAAAGTGACATAGAATATAAGCAAGGAAGGCCCAAGAGACACCAATTTGTCCTCCCCACCAAAAAGAAAAAAGAAAAACAAAAAGAAATGTATAAAAGATAAATGTTTGAAACTATACTTCAAAAAACTTTCCCTAGAGTAAAAGAAAACTTGTATCTATATATTGAACAAGCACACTGTTGCCATGGTAAATTGACCCAGAATTGTCAGCACAAAGTCATTTGCTAGTGAAAATATTGGCCTTTAAATACAAAAAAGAACCTTTTTAGTATCTTGGGAGGGAAAGTCTAAGTCATTTATAGGGAAAGATCATCAAGTTAGATTAAACATCTTAACAGCAATATTTCATGCTAGGAAACAATGTAGCACATTTAAAATAGTCAAAGAACGAAAATGCAAACTAGGGTTGAAAATCCATCCCAAATTCCTTCAACATAGAGGTCATAAACATGGTAGAGCTTAGGACATATTGTTTGTACGAGCCTATCTTGAGGAATTTGCTAAGAATAAGCTTCAGACAGCCACAAAATAATTGAAAAAATTTTAACATAATGTTTGAGGAGTAAGCATTAAATATAATTATCTATAGAAATAAGACTAAAGGATAGAGTTATGTGTATTACAATAGTTTCAAATGGTATATGCTCTAAGATTATGAAAAATTAAAAATGACAAAACTGAGAAAATTAAGAGTAAATGGGAAGTAAGCCTTCTGATTATTATACAGGTATTAACTGGTGTGCGTGTGAGTGTGCGTGTGTGTGTGTGTGTGTGTGTGTGTGTCTTAAAGCTGACAAATCAAACAGGAAATGGTTAGAATACTTAAGACTATAAAAAGTAATCTTAAGATAATACTAGAATATAAAATTGGATTATAAGGGAGAGGCAGTAAAGAAAAGCAGAAATAGATCTTAACCTCAGTGTTGGTCATAGTGGGACATCATTGGGTTATATCTAAATAAGAGGTCAGTAACAGTATTATGCAAAAGTAAAAATGTGTCTGTTTTAACAAAAAATAAATTTCAAATAAAACAAAAAAGGTTAATGAAAAACATGAGTTTAAAGTAAATCCAACATAAAACAATATCAAATACATCCATAATGTCAATAAATGCAAGTGAACTTAACTCACCTAATAAAAGAAAATTATTCTTATATTGGCTTCTTACAAAACCAGATACACCAAGTAGATAAAGTGACTAGTAATAATATGCAATATCTAAACAATATTCTATATTGTAGAATAAGATTTATCTGCAACAATGTAGATCTTATTGATATGTTTGGAAACTGTTTTCCAATAATAGAGGTGTACTTTCTTTCAGAGTACACATGGAACATTTATAAAATTAACAATATATTAGGCCACAGAGAAGTTAAAACAAACAATGAATTCCAAAACATAAAAAATACAAATGGTACATTCCGACCAGAATGCAATAAATAAAAAATAAAAATAGTATATTCTGACCACAGAGCAATAAAACTAGAAATTAATAATAAAATCTTTTAGAAGTCCTTCCACCTGGAATTATTAAAAAAAAGAAAACTTCACTCACATCTTGTGTCAAGGAGTAAATATAAAAACTAATTGCAGAATTTCTTAAAGCAATGAAGAATAAAATACAATATATTGTATCTAGGGGATACAGCTAAAGTAAATGCTTAGATAAAAATTTATAAATTTCATTTTTTATATCAATAAAAGTGAAAACAGACCCCACTCCAAAAGTGGTGAAAATTACAAAGAATATTGAAGTAAAGTAGAATTACTAAAGAGAAAAGCAAAAATAAATGAGAAAATAGTAAAAAAAGAAAACAGCACTAAGAAGGATAGAAAGACTGGAGAAAGAGAGAAAAGAGAGAGAGAAAGAGGAAGGAATGAAGGAAGGGAAGAAGGAAGGAAGGAAGAAAGAGAAGAAGGAAGGAAGGGAGGGACGGAGAAGGGAGAAAGAAAGAAGGAGGGAGGGAGGGAATGGGGGAAGGGAGAGAAAGAAATAAAGGAAAGAGAAAGAAAGAAACAAAAGAAAGAAAGAAACAAAGAAAGAAAGAAAAAGAAAGGAGAGAAAAAGAAAGAAAGGAGAGAGAGAAAGAAAAGAAAACCAAACACTGCATGTTCTCACTCATAAGTGGGAGTTGATCAATGAGAACACATGGACACAGAGAGGGGAACATCACACACTGGGGCCTGTCAGGGGGCAGGGGGCAGGGGGCTAGGGGATGGATAGCATTAGGACAAATACCTAATGTAGATGACGGGTTTATGGGAGCAGCAAACCACCATGGCACAGGTATACCTTTGTAACAAACCTGCACGTTCTGCAAATGTACCCCAGAACTTAAAGTATAGGAAGGAAGGAAGGAAGTAAAAAAGGAAGGAACAAGGAAAAAAGGAAGGAAAAAAGGACGGAGAAAAGGACAAACGGACGGAAGGAAGGAAGGGAGGGAGGGAGGGAGGGAGAAGAGGAGGGAGAAGAGGGAAGGAAGGAAGAAAGGAAGGGAAATAATCTTGTCCTTTAAAAAATATTAGTAAAATGGACAAACCTCTAGTTAACTTATGTCTTTAGTAAACAGGTAGAAAGTAAAAATACACAAAATGAATATGACAAAGAAAAAATAACCATCAAGATTAATTTTTTTAATCTATATAATTAAATTGGAACAATTCTATGCAAATACAGTCATATGCTACATAATGTTTCACAAATATGACAGTGGTCCTATAGGAATATAATATCCAATTTTACTGTACCTTTTCCATGTTTAAATATATAAATACTTACCATTGTGTTATGATTGCCTATAATATTCAGTAGCATAAGATGTGTACAGGTCTGTAGCCTAGGAGCAATAGGCTATATCATATTACCTAGTGTGCAATAGGCTATACATCTAAGTTTGTATAATTACATTGTATGATGTTGCACAATAATGAAATAACCTAACAACATAATTCTTAAAATGCATCCCTGTAATTCACACGGGGATGTATGTAATTTCATGACTGCATTTTAAAACCTTGATGAAATGGGTAACTTTGGTCAAAATAAAAAGTTGAGACAGAAAGTTCTAAGAAGTTAATTATCACACAAGAAGCTAAGAGAGTTTTCAAAATTTATTCTTCACAACAACCTCAGGCCCAGATGATTTTATAGTGCATTACTACCAAACAGATAGAAATCAGATGACCCAACTGATACTTAAGTTGTTCTGTATCATAGAAAAGGAAAATTATTCAAATTTTTATATAAAACATAAAAGACAAAATCCACATAAAGATTATATTTTAAAAAGCTATATATCATTCTCACCTAAAAAAGATACAAAAGTTATATGTAAAATATTAAAAATAGAATGTCATATTGAAAGAAATTATACCATGATCAAATACAGTTTATTCTTGAAATGCAAAATGATTCAGTATAAGGAAATCCATTAAAATAATTCATCACAGTAGTCAATCAAAAGTGAAAGTTGATATGACCATCTCTAAAAATGGCAAAAAAGCATTTTTAAAAATTCAACACTGAAAATGGAACAGCTCCGGTCTTCAGCTTCCAGCATGATCAATGCAGAAGATGGGTGATTTCTGCATTTCCAACTGAGGTACCTGGTTCATCTCACTGGGACTGGTTGGACAGTGGGTGCAGCCGAGAGGGTGAGTTGAAGCAGGATGGGGCAAGGTTTCACCCAGGAAGCACAAGGGGTCCAGGGATTTCCCTTTCCCAGCCAAGGGAAGCCATGAAAGTACCTGGAAAACCAGGACATTCCCACCCTAATACTACGCTTTTCCAACAATCTTAGCAAATGGCACACCAAGAGATTATATCCCATGTCTGGCTCAGCGGGTCCCATGCCCATGGAGCCTCGCTCACTGCTAGTGCAGCAGTCCAAGATCCAACTGCGAGGTGGCAGCCTGGGCTGGGGAAGGGGCATCTGCCATTGCTGAGGCTTGAGTAGGTAAACAAAGCTCGAACTGGGTGGAGCCCACCACAGCTCAACGAGGCCTGTGTGCCTCTGTAGACTCCACCTCTGGGGGCAGGGCATAGCTGAACAAAAGGCAGAAGATATTTCTGCAGACTTAAATGTTGCATCTGACAGCTCTGAAGAGAGCAGTGGTTCTCCCAGCATGGAGTTTGAGCTCTGAGAATGGACAGACTGCCTTCTCAAGTGGGTTGCTGACCCCTGTGTAGCCTAACTGGGAGACACCTCCCAGTAGGGGCCAACTGACACCTCATAGAGCCAGGTGCCCCCTGAGACAAAGCTTCCAGAGGAAGGATCAGGTAGCAATGTTTGCTGTTCTGCAGCCTCCGAGTGTGATACCCAGGCAAACAGGGTCTGGAGTGGACCTCTAGCAAACTCCAACTGACCTGCACCTGAGGGTCCTGACTGTTAGAAGGAAAACTAACAAACAGAAAGGAACAGCATCAACATCAACAAAAAGGACATCCACACCAAAACCCCATCTGTAGGTCACCAACGTCAAAGAGCAAAGGTAGATAAAACCACAAAGATGGGGAGAAACCAGAGCAGAAAAGCTGAAAATTCTAAAAACCAGAGCTCCTCTTCTCCTCCAAAGGATCACAGCTCCTCACCAGCAATGGAACAAAGCTGGATGGAGAACGACTTTGATGAGTTGACAGAAGTAGGCTTCAGAAGGTCAGTAATAACAAACTTCTCTGAGCTAAAGGAGGATCTTCGATCCCATCACAAGGAAGCTAAAAACCTTGAAAAAGACTAGACAAATGGCTAACTAGAATAAACAGTGTAGAGAAGACCTTAAATGACCTGATGGAGCTGAAAACCATGGCACGAGAACTACGTGACACACGCACAAGCTTCAGTAGCTGATTCGATCAAGTGGAAGAAAGGGTATCAGTGATTGAAGGTCAAATAAATGAAATGAAGCGAGAAAAGAAGTTTAGAGAAAAGAGTAAAAAGAAATGAACAAAACCTCCAAGAAATATGGGACTATGTGAAAAGACCAAATCTATGTCTGATTGGTGTACCTGAAAGTGACAGAGAGAATGGAACCAAGTTGCAAAACACTCTTCAGGATATAATCCAGGAGAATTTCCCCAACCTAGCAAGACAGGCCAACATTCAAATTCAGGAAATACAGAGAACACCACAATGTTACTCCTGAGAAGAGCAACCCCAAGACACATAATTGTCAGATTCACCAAGGTTGAAATGAAGGAAAAAATGTTAAGGGAAGCCAGAGAGAAAGGTCGGGTTACCCACAAAGGGAAACCCATCAGACTAATAGCAGATCGCTCAGCAGAAACTCTACAGGCCAGAAGAGAGTGGGGACCAACATTCACCTTAAAGAAAAGAATTTTCAACCCAGAATTTCATACCCAGCCAAACTAAGCTTCATAAGTGAAGAAGAAATAAAATCCTTTAAAGACAAGCAAATGCTGAGAGATTTTGTCACCACCAGGCCTGCCTTCCAAGAGCTCCTGAAGGAAGCACTAAACATGGAAAGGAACAACCAGTACCAGCCACTACAAAAACATGCCAAATGTAAAGACCATCGAGGCTAGGAAGAAACTGCATCAACTAACGAGCAAAATCACCAGCTAACATCATAATGACAGGATCAACTTCACACATAACAATATTAACCTTAAATGTAAATGGGCTAAATGCACCAATTAAAAGACACAGACTGGCAAATTGGATAACGAGTCAAGACCCATCAGTGTGCTGTATTCAGGAAACCCATCTCATGTGCAGAGACACACATAGGCTCAAAATAAAGGGATGGAAGAAGATCTACAAAGCAAATGGAAAACAAAAAAAGGCAGGGGTTGGAATCCTAGTCTCTGATAAAACAGACTTTAAACCAACAAAGATCAAAAGAGGCAAAGAAGGCCATTACATAATTGTAAATGGATCAATTCAACAAGAAGAGCTAACTATCCTAAATATATATGCACCCAACAGGAGCACCCAGATTCATAAGGCAAATCCTTAGAGACCTACAAAGAGGTTTAGACTCCCATACAATAATAATGGAAGACTTTAACACCCCACTGTCAATATTAGACAGATCCACGAGACGGAAGGTTAACAAGGATATCCAGGACTTGAACTCAGCTCTGCACCAAGCAGACCTAATAGACATCTACAGAACTCTCCACCCCAAATCAACAGAATATACATTCTTTTCAGCACCACATCACACTTATTCCAAAATTGACCACATAGTTGGCACTCCTGAGCAAATCTAAAAGAATAGAAATCACAACAAACTGTCTCTCAGACCCCAGTGCAATCAAACTAGAACTCAGGATTAAGAAACTCACTCAAAACCACTCAACTACATGGAAACTGAACAACCTGCTCCTTAATGACTACAGTACATAACAAAATGAAGGCAAAAATAAAGATGTTCTTTGAAACCAATGAGAACAAAGAAACAACATATCAGAATCTCTGGGACACATTTAAAGCAGTGTCTAGAGGGAAACTTATAGCACTAAATGCCCACAAGAGAAAGCAGGAAAGATCTAAAATGGACACCCTAACATCACAATTAGAACTAGAGAAGCAAGAGCAAACACATTCAAAAGCTAGCAGAAGGCAAGAAATAACTAAGATCAGATCAGAACTGAAGGAAATAGAGATACAAAAAAAACTTCAAAAAAAAAAAAAAATCAATGAATCCAGGAGCTGGTTTTTGAAGAGATCAACAAAATAGACAGACTAATAAAGAAGAAAAGAGAGAAGAATCAAATAGATGCAATAAAAAATGATAAAGGGGATATCACCATCAATCCACAGAAATACAAACTACCATCAGAGAATACTATAAACACCTCTACGCAAATAAACTAGAAAATCTAGAAGAAATGGATAAATTCCTAGACACACACACACTACCAAGACTAAACCAGGAAGAAGTTGAATCCCTGAATAGACCAATAACACACTCTGAAATTGAGGCAATAATTAATAGCCGACCAACCAGAAAACTCCAGGACCAGACGGATTCACAGCCGAATTCTACCAGAGGTACAAAGAGGAGCTGGTACCATTCCTTCTGAAACTATTCCAATCAATAGAAAAAGAGGGAATCCTCCCTAACTCATTTTATGAGGCCAGCATCATCCTGATACCAAAGCCTGGCAGAGACACAACCAAAAAAGAGAATTTTAGACCAATATCCCTGATGAACATCAATGCGAAAATCCTCAATAGAATACTGGCAAACCAAATCCACAGCACATCAAAAAGCTTATCCACCACAATCAAGTGGGCTTCATCCCTGGGATGCAAGGCTGGTTCAACATATGCAAATCAATAAACGTAATCCATCACATAAACAGAATCAAAGAAAAAACCACATGATTATCTCAATAGATGCAGAAAAGGCCTTTGACAAAATTCAACAGCCCTTCATGCTAAAAACTCAATAAACTAGGTATTGATGGGACGTATCTCAACATAGTAAGAGCTATCTATGACAAACCCACAGCCAATATCATACTGAATGGGCAAAAACTGGAAGCATTCTCTTTGAAAACTGGCACAAGACAGGGATGCCCTCTCTCACCACTCCTATTCAACATAGTGTTGGAAGTTCTGGCCAGGGCAATCAGGCAGCAGAAAGAAATAAAGATATTCAATTAGGAAAAGAAGACATAAAATTGTCCCTGTTTGCAGATGACATGATTGTATATTTAGAGAACCCCATCATCTCAGCCCCAAATCTCCTTAAGCTGAGAAGCAACTTCAGCAAAGTCTCAGGATACAAAATCAATGTGCAAAAATCACAAGCATTCCTATATACCAATAACAGACAAACAGAGAGCCAAATCATGAGTGAACTCCCATTCACAATTGCTTCAAAGAGAATAAAATACCTAGGAATCCAACTTACAAGGGATGTGAAGGACCTCTTCAAGGAGAACTACAAACCACTGCTCAAGGAAATAAAAGAGGACACAAAGAAATGGAAGAACATTCCATGTTCATGGATAGGAAGAATCAATATCAGGAAAATGGCCATACTGCCCAAGGTAATTTATAGATTCAATGCCATCCCCATCAAGCTACCAATGAGTTTCTTCCCAGAATTGGAAAAAACTACTTTAAAGTTCATATGGAACCAAAAAAGAGCCCGCATCGCCAAGTCAATCCTAAGCCAAAAGAACAAAGCTAGAGGCATCATGCTATCTGACTTCAAACTATACTATAAGGCTACAGTAACCAAAACAACATCTGGTACCAAAACAGATATATAGACCAATGGAACAGAACAGAGGGCTCAGAAATGACACCACACATCTACAACCATCTGATCTTTGACAAACCTGACAGAAAAAAGAAATGGGGAAAGGATTCCTGTTGCAGGAAGTCAAGGATCCCAAACAGAGGGACTGGCTGAAGTCATGGCAGAAGAACGTGGATTGTGAAGATTTCATGGACATTTATTAGTTCCCCAAATTAATACTTTTATAATTTCTTACACCTGTCTTTACTGCAATCTCTGAACATAAATTGTGAAGATTTCATGGACACTTATCACTTCCCCAATCAATACCCTTGTGATTTCCTATGCCTGTCTTTATTTTAATCTCTTAATCCCATCATCTTCGTAAACTGAGGATGTATGATGCCTCAGGACCCTGTGATCATTGTGTTAACTGCACAAATTGTTTGTAGAGCATGTGTGTTTGAACATTATGAAATCTGGGCACCTTGAAAAAAGAAAAGGGTAACAGCAATGTTCAGGGAACAAGAGAGATAACCGTAAACTCTGACTGCCAGTGAGCCGGGCGAAACAGAACCATATTTCTCTTCTTTCGAAAGCAAATGGAAGAAGTATCACTGAGTTCTTTTTCTCAGCAAGAAACATCCCTGAGAAAGAAAATGAGTCCCTGAGGGTACGCCTCTGAAAGGGCCGCTTCAGAGGCAGCCGTCTTTTATGGTTGCAGCTGTAGGGATGAAATAAGCCCCAGTCTCCCGTAGCACTCCCAGGCTTATTAGGACGAGGAAATTCCCGCCTAATAAATTTTGGTCAGACCGGTTGTCTACTCTCAAACCCTATTTCCTGTTAAGATGTTATCAATGACAATGCCTGCCTGAAACTTCATTAGCATTTTAATTTCACCCTGGTCCTGTGGTCCTGTGATCTCACCCTGCCTCCATTTGCCTTGTGATATATTATTACCTTGGAAGCATGTGATCTCTGTGACCCACACCCTATTCGTACACTCCCTCCCCTTTTGAAAATCGCTAATAAAAACTTGCTGGTTTTGCGGCTCAGGGGGCATCACGGAACCTGCCGACATGTGATATCTCCCCTGGACACCCAGCTTTAAAATTTCTCTCTTTTGTACTCTTTCCCTTTATTTCTCAGACTGGCCGACACTTAGGGAAAATAGAAAAGAACGTATGTGAAATATCGAGGGTGAATTTCACCCAATATTCACTGAATTTCCCCCGATAGATTCCCTATTTAATAAACAGTGTTGGGAAAACGGTCTAGCCATATGTAGAAAGCTGAAACTGCATCCCTTCCTTACACCTTATAAAAAAATTAATTCAAGATGGATTAAAGACTTAAATGTTAGACCTAAAACCATAAAAACTCTAGAAGAAAACCTAGGCAATACCAATTCAGGACATAGGCATGGGTAAGGACTTCATGACTAAAACACCAAAAGCAATGGCAACAAAAGCCAAAATAGACAAATGGGATCTAATTAAACTAAAGAGCTTCTGCACAGCAAAAGAAACTACCATCACAGTGAACAGGCAACCTACAGAATGGGAGAACATTTTTGCAATCTACCCATCTGACAAAGGGCTAATATCCAGAATCTAAAAAGAACTTAAATTTACAAGAAAAAATCAAAAAACCCCATCAAAAAGTGGGTGAAGGATATGAACAGACGCTTCTCAAAAGAAGACATCTATGCAGCCTATAGACACATGAAAAAATGCTCATCATCACTGGTTGTCAGAGAAATGCAAATCAAAACCACAATGAGATATCATCTCACACCAGTTAGAATGGCAATCATTAAAAAGTCAGGAAACAACAGGTGCTGGAGAGGATGTGGAGAAATAGGAACACTTTTACACTGTTTGTGGGAGTGTAAACTAGTTCAGTCATTGCAAAAGACAGTGTGGCGATTCCTCAAGGATCTAGAACTAGAATTACCATTTGACCCAGGAATCCCATTACTGGGTATATACCCAAAGGATTATAAATCATCCCACTATAAAGACACGAACACATATGTTTATTGCGGCACTCTTCACAATAGCAAAAACTTGGAACCAACCCAAATGCCCATCAATGATAGACTGGATTAAGAAAATGTGGCACATATACACCATGGAATACTATGCAGCCATAAAAAAGGATGAGTTCATGTCCTTCGTAGGGACATGGATCAAGCTGGAAACCATCATTCTCAGCAAACTATCACAAGGACAGAAAACCAAACACTGCATGTTCTCACTCATAGGTGGGAAGTGAAGAACACTTGCACACAGGGCAGGGAACATCACACACCGGGGCCTATCATGGGGTGGGGGGAGGGGGGAGGGATAGCATTAAGATAAATACCTAATGTAAATGATGAGTTAATGGGTGCAGCACACCAACATGGCACATGTATACATATGTAACAAACCTGCACATTGTACACATGTACCCTAGAACTTAAAGTATAATTTTTTAAAAAATTGGTATTATTATTAAAAGGAAAAAAATTCAACATTTTTGATCATACACAAATACGTACACACTCATCACTAAAATAAAAATCAATTAAGTGTGCATTTTACTTAATGGGGAAACACTAAAGTATTTCCATTGCTGTAAGAAACAATGCAAAGTTGTCTACTATTACCGCTACTATTTAACATGATACTGAAAAAATTAGCCAATGGAATTAGACAAGATAAAGCAATTGGGAGGTAAAATCAGATCTAATTTTAAGTAATGTTTGTATGTTATTAAAACTCAAGAAAATCAATAAAAACTACTGTAAAAAATCAGCAAATGTGGTAAATTAACAGGATACAAAATTAACATATGGAAATCAAGAGCCTTCATATAAGTAAATATGAAAATATTATGAGAAACAAATATATGGAGAGAAGTCTCCCATCTAAAAATGTAAACCACCTAAGCATACTCTTAGCAAGAAATGTGCAAAGCTTACATAAGGAAATTTTAAAACACTACTGAAGACAAAGGAAGTATACTTAAATAAATGAAGAACCATTTCCTTCTCTTATATGCAAACTCAACATCAAAGTTAAATCATATGTATTTACAGATAAATTCATAATGTGGAACATTCCTAAGAATGGTTGTCTTCTCTTCCATAAGTCAATGGCATGATTAAAAAGGAGGGAGGGAGACTAATCTAGCTTAAAGGAAATTTCATTTACAACTCAACATAATTTGTGAGACTTGTGTGGGTTCTAATTAAAACAAACTATAAACATAATTTTGATAATTGACCGGGTAGTTGGTAATAGAAAAGACTATTTTTTATTTTGTAAAGTGTAACAGCAGCATTGTGGTTATGTAAGAAAATGTACATAATTTTTAGAGATGCTTTTTTAAGTATATAGGTGTGAAATGAACTATCTGGGATTTGTTTTAAAATAATTCATTAAAGAGGGCTGGCTGCGGTGGTTCATGCCTATAATCCCAGCACTTTGGGAGGCCAAGGTGGGTGGATCACAAGGTCAGGAGATCGAGACCATCCTGGCTAACATGGTGAAACCCCATCTCTACTAAAAACACAAAAATTAGCCGGGCATGGTGGTGGGTGCCTGTAGTCCCCGCTGCTGGGGAGGCTGAGGCAGGAGAATGGCATGAACCCAGGAGGCGGAGCTTGCAGGGAGCCGAAATCATGTCACTGCACTCTAGCCTGGGTGACAAAGCGAGAGTCTGTCTCAAAAAAATAAATAAATAAATAAATAAAATAAAATAATAATAATTCATTATAGAAAAAAGAAATAGAGCAAAGATGACAAAATCTTTAAAATTATTGAATATAAATATAAGTTTATGGAAGTTCATTATTACTTTCTACTTTTTATGTATTTTTAAAATATTTGAAATAAAATTATTTTATTTAAAAAAAGAAGAATGAGTGTAAGTCCCAGACTTAAGGGAGGTGATGGTTTGAAAGAGTTGCTGTTGAAAATGGGAATTGGGTTGACCAAGAACAAAAAAAAAACAAATAAAAGGTTTGGAGGATGACACAAAGGTTCCCATTTGGGTTTGGGTCCTGACTTTGTGGGACCAACCTGCATTGATGTGGGAACAGAAATGATAGACAGTAGTGAGGAAGGAGACTGGCAAGACTTGTTTCCTGGTCACAACCCTGCTGACTAAAACAGCACCTGGTCCAGACAAGATGAAGCAAAGAAACCTGCAAGAACCAGCAGATGACAATGAAAGTGATCCCTAGCTGCCCTCATTGCTCATTAGCATAATATACTCCCACCAGCGCCATGACACTTTACAAATGCCATGGCAATGACCCAGAAGTTACCTCCCCTTTCCATGGCAACAACCAGGAAATTACTTTTCCTTTCCTAGAAAATTCTAAATAGCCCACCCATCAATTTCCATTGACCCACCCCTTAATTTACATGTAATTGAAAGTGGGTTCCTGAGTATAAATAAAGTTGCCAAGAGCTGCCTACTCTGGGCACATATGCCTATGAGTTAGTCCTGCTCTGCAAGAAGCAGTACTGTTCAGCAGATTACTGTCTACCACCACCAGCTTGCCTTTGAATTCTTTCCGTGATGAAGCCAAGAACACACTCGGGTTAAGCCCCCAATTTAGGGTTTACCTGTCCTGCATAGCAGCATGAATTGAGAGTCAAGTTTTTCTCCTTCGAAGTAGAGAGAAAAAGAGAAGCCATTACACACCTTCCCAAAGCCAAACAATCCAATCACATATGTATCAAGCTAAATCCCAAGGACAACTAATAGAAAATCTAAGTGGGCTTGTCAATAGTGGGGAAAAATAGGAAGTCAGGCACAGTGTGGGGGCTAGCACAATAAGCAGCTGAGCATACACAGCCAAAAGTGGAACTGAACTCCTAAACTTGCACCATTCTCTGCACTGATCCTGTTCTCAGGCTTTCCTTCTTAACTCTGGATAACATTGCTTGCTCCCTTTTCTGGTCTCTTAAAACAATAGCCATGTATACAGTGTTGTTTGTAATTAGTCATGACACTGGCTAACATCTGATGGTTGCTATGTAGCAAGGTATTCATGGCTGCACAGGTTTATCTCCTTGAATCTTCATAACAAACCTGGGAGTCTCAGAAAATGTTAGGTTAAAGTGAGGACACTCAAATTTAAGCTCAGGATATCTGACTCTGGGGCCCAAGCTCCTAAACAGGAAGCCACTCTAATTACTGCTTGCGAGATCCAACCTATCTGATTTTCTCTCCTTCAAGAAGGCATTTCAGAGGGAGGAGCCAAGATGGCCGAATAGGAACAGCTCTGGTCTACAGCTCCCAGCGTGAGCGACGCAGAAGACGGGTGATTTCTGCATTTCCATCTAAGGTACCGGGTTCATCTCACTAGGGAGTGCCAGACAGTGGGCGCAGGCCAGTGTGTGTGCGCACCATGCGCGAGCCGAAGCAGGGCGAGGCATTGCCTCACCTGGGAAGCGCAAGGGGTCAGGGAGTTCCCTTTCCGAGTCAAAGAAAGGGGTGACGGACGCACCTGGAAAATCGGGTCACTCCCACCCGAATATTGCGCTTTTCAGACCGGCTTAAGAAACGGCGCACCACGAGACTATATCCCACACCTGGCTCGGAGGGTCCTACGCCCACGGAATCTCGCTGATTGCTAGCACAGCAGTCTGAGACCAAACTGCAAGGCGGCAACGAGGCTGGGGGAGGGGCGCCCGCCATTGCCCAGGCTTGCTTAGGTAAACAAAGCAGCCAGGAAGCTCGAACTGGGTGGAGCCCACCACAGCTCAAGGAGGCCTGCCTGCCTCTGTAGGCTCCACCTCTGGGGGCAGGGCACAGACAAACAAAAAGACAGCAGTAACCTCTGCAGACTTAAGTGTCCCTGTCTGACAGCTTTGAAGAGAGCAGTGGTTCTCCCAGCACGCAGCTGGAGATCTGAGAACGGGCAGACTGCCTCCTCAAGTGGGTCCCTGACCCCTGACCCCCGAGCAGCCTAACTGGGAGGCACCCCCCAGCAGGGGCACACTGACACCTCACACAGCAGGGTATTCCAACAGACCTGCATCTGAGGGTCCTGTCTGTTAGAAGGAAAACTAACAACCAGAAAGGACATCTACACCGAAAACCCATCTGTACATCACCATCATCAAAGACCAAAAGTAGATAAAACCACAAAGATGGGGAAAAAACAGAACAGAAAAACTGGAAACTCTAAAACGCAGAGCGCCTCTCCTCCTCCAAAGGAACGCAGTTCCTCACCAGCAACAGAACAAAGCTGGATGGAGAATGATTTTGACGAGCTGAGAGAAGAAGGCTTCAGACGATCAAATTACTCTGAGCTACGGGAGGACATTCAAACCAAAGGCAAAGAAGTTGAAAACTTTGAAAAAAATTTAGAAGAATGTATAACTAGAATAACCAATACAGAGAAGTGCTTAAAGGAGCTGATGGAGCTGAAAACCAAGGCTCGAGAACTACGTGAAGAATGCAGAAGCCTCAGGAGCCGATGCAATCAACTGGAAGAAAGGGTATCAGCAATGGAAGATGAAATGAATGAAATGAAGCGAGAAGGGAAGTTTAGAGAAAAAAGAATAAAAAGAAATGAGCAAAGCCTCCAAGAAATATGGGACTATGTGAAAAGACCAAATCTACGTCTGATTGGTGTACCTGAAAGTGATGGGGAGAATGGAACCAAGTTGGAAAACACTCTGCAGGATATTATCCAGGAGAACTTCCCCAATCTAGCAAGGCAGGCCAACGTTCAGATTCAGGAAATACAGAGAACGCCACAAAGATACTCCTCGAGAAGAGCAACTCCAAGACACATAATTGTCAGATTCACCAAAGTTGAAATGAAGGAAAAAATGTTAAGGGCAGCCAGAGAGAAAGGTCGGGTTACCCTCAAAGGAAAGCCCATCAGACTAACAGCGGATCTCTCGGCAAAAACCCTACAAGCCAGAAGAGAGTGGGGGCCAATATTCAACATTCTTAAAGAAAAGAATTTTCAACCCAGAATTTCATATCCAGCCAAACTAAGCTTCATAAGTGAAGGAGAAATAAAATACTTTATAGACAAGCAAATGCTGAGAGATTTTGTCACCACCAGGCCTGCCCTAAAAGAGCTCCTGAAGGAAGCGCTAAACATGGAAAGGAACAACCGGTACCAGCCGCTGCAAAATCATGCCAAAATGTAAAGACCATCGAGACTAGGAAGAAACTGCATCAACTAATGAGCAAAATCACCAGCTAACATCATAATGACAGGATCAAATTCACACATAACAATATTAACTTTAAATATAAATGGACTAAATTCTGCAATTAAAAGACACAGACTGGCAAGTTGGATAAAGAGTCAAGACCCATCAGTGTGCTGTATTCAGGAAACCCATCTCATGTGCAGAGACACACATAGGCTCAAAATAAAAGGATGGAGGAAGATCTACCAAGCCAATGGAAAACAAAAAAAGGCAGGGGTTGCAATCCTAGTCTCTGATAAAGCAGACTTTAAACCAACAAAGATCAAAAGAGACAAAGAAGGCCATTACATAATGGTAAAGGGATCAATTCAACAAGAGGAGCTAACTATCCTAAATATTTATGCACCCAATACAGGAGCACCCAGATTCATAAAGCAAGTCCTGAGTGACCTACAAAGAGACTTAGACTCCCACACATTCATAATGGGAGACTTTAACACCCCACTGTCAACATTAGACAGATCAACAAGACAGAAAGTCAACAAGGATACCCAGGAATTGAACTCAGCTCTGCACCAAGCAGACCTAATAGACATCTACAGAACTCTCCACCCCAAATCAACAGAATATACATTTTTTTCAGCACCACACCACACCTATTCCAAAATTGACCACATACTTGGAAGTAAAGCTCTCCTCAGCAAATGTAAAAGAACAGAAATTATAACAAACTATCTCTCAGACCACAGTGCAATCAAACTAGAACTCAGGATTAAGAATCTCACTCAAAGCCGCTCAACTACATGGAAACTGAACAACCTGCTCCTGAATGACTACTGGGTACATAACGAAATGAAGGCAGAAATAAAGATGTTCTTTGAAACCAACGAGAACAAAGACACCACATACCAGAATCTCTGGGACACATTCAAAGCAGTGTGTAGAGGGAAATTTATAGCACTAAATGCCTACAAGAGAAAGCAGGAAAGATCCAAAATTGACACCCTAACATCACAATTAAAAGAACTAGAAAAGCAAGAGCAAACACATTCAAAAGCTAGCAGAAGGCAAGAAATAACTAAAATCAGAGCAGAACTGAAGGAAATAGAGACACAAAAAACCCTTCAAAAAATCAATGAATCCAGGAGCTGGTTTTTTGAAAGGATCAACAAAATTGATAGACCGCTAGCAAGACTAATAAAGAAAAAAAGAGAGAAGAATCAAATAGACACAATAAAAAATGATAAAGGGGATATCACCACCGATCCCACAGAAATACAAACTACCATCAGAGAATACTACAAACACCTCTACGCAAATAAACTAGAAAATCTAGAAGAAATGGATAAATTCCTCGACACATACACTCTCCCAAGACTAAACCAGGAAGAAGTTGAATCTCTGAATAGAACAATAACAGGCTCTGAAATTGTGGCAATAATCAATAGTTTACCAACCAAAAAGAGTCCAGGACCAGATGGATTCACAGCCGAATTCTACCAGAGGTACAAGGAGGAACTGGTACCATTCCTTCTGAAACTATTCCAATCAATAGAAAAAGAGGGAATCCTCCCTAACTCATTTTATGAGGCCAGCATCATTCTGATACCAAAGCCGGGCAGAGACACAACCAAAAAAGAGAATTTTAGACCAATATCCTTGATGAACATTGATGCAAAAATCCTCAATAAAATACTGGCAAACCGAATCCAGCAGCACATCAAAAAGCTTATCCACCATGATCAAGTGGGCTTCATCCCTGGGATGCAAGGCTGGTTCAATATACGCAAATCAATAAATGTAATCCAGCATATAAACAGAGCCAAAGACAAAAACCACATAATTATCTCAATAGATGCAGAAAAAGCCTTTGACAAAATTCAACAACCCTTCATGCTAAAAACTCTCAATAAATTAGGTATTGATGGGACGTATTTCAAAATAATAAGAGCTATCTATGACAAACCCACAGCCAATATCATACTGAATGGGCAAAAACTGGAAGCATTCCCTTTGAAAACTGGCACAAGACAGGGATGCCCTCTCTCACCACTCCTATTCAACATAGTGTTGGAAGTTCTGGCCAGGGAAATCAGGCAGGAGAAGGAAATAAAGGGTATTCAATTAGGAAAAGAGGAAGTCAAATTGTCCCTGTTTGCAGACGACATGATTGTTTATCTAGAAAACCCCATCGTCTCAGCCCAAAATCTCCTTAAGCTGATAAGCAACTTCAGCAAAGTCTCAGGATACAAAATCAATGTACAAAAATCACAAGCATTCTTATACACCAACAACAGACAAACAGAGAGCCAAATCATGAGTGAACTCCCATTCACAATTGCTTCAAAGAGAATAAAATACCTAGGAATCCAACTTACAAGGGATGTGAAGGACCTCTTCAAGGAGAACTACAAACCACTGCTCAAGGAAATAAAAGAGGACACAAACAAATGGAAGAACATTCCATGCTCATGGGTAGGAAGAATCAATATTGTGAAAATGGCCATACTGCCCAAGGTAATTTACAGATTCAATGCCATCCCCATCAAGCTACCAATGACTTTCTTCACAGAATTGGAAAAAACTACTTTAAAGTTCATATGGAACCAAAAAAGAGCCCGCATCGCCAAGTCAATCCTAAGCCAAAAGAACAAAGCTGGAGGCATCACACTACCTGACTTCAAACTATACTATAAGGCTACAGTAACCAAAACAGCATGGTACTGGTACCAAAACAGAGATATAGATCAATGGAAGAGAACAGAGCCCTCAGAAATAATGCCGCATATCTACAACTATCTGATCTTTGACAAACCTGAGAAAAACAAGCAATGGGGAAAGGATTCCCTATTTAATAAATGGTGCTGGGAAAACTGGCTAGCCATATGTAGAAAGCTGAAACTGGATCCCTTCCTTACACCTTATACAAAAATCAATTCAAGATGGATTAAAGATTTAAACGTTAGACCTAAAACCATAAAAACCCTAGAAGAAAACCTAGGCATTACCATTCAGGACATAGGCGTGGGCAAGGACTTCATGTCCAAAACACCAAAAGCAATGGCAACAAAAGCCAAAATTGAGAAATGGGATCTAATTAAACTAAAGAGCTTCTGCACAGCAAAAGAAACTACCATCAGAGTGAACAGGCAACCTACAACATGGGAGAAAATTTTCGCAACCTACTCATCTGACAAAGGGCTAATATCCAGAATCTACAATGAACTCAAACAAATTTACAAGAAAAAAACAAACAACCCCATCAAAAAGTGGGCGAAGGACATGAACAGACACTTCTCAAAAGAAGACATTTATGCAGCCAAAAAACACATGAAGAAATGCTCATCATCACTGGCCATCAGAGAAATGCAAATCAAAACCACTATGAGATATCATCTCACACCAGTTAGAATGGCAATCATTAAAAAGTCAGGAAACAACAGGTGCTGGAGAGGATGTGGAGAAATAGGAACACTTTTACACTGTTGGTGGGACTGTAAACTAGTTCAACCATTGTGGAAGTCAGTGTGGCGATTCCTCAGGGATCTAGAACTAGAAATACCATTTGACCCAGCCATCCCATTACTGGGTATATACCCAAAGGACTATAAATCATGCTGCTATAAAGACACATGCACACGTATGTTTATTGCGGCACTATTCACAATAGCAAAGACTTGGAACCAACCCAAATGTCCAACAATGATAGACTGGATTAAGAAAATGTGGCACATATACACCATGGAATACTATGCAGCCATAAAAAATGATGAGTTCATGTCCTTTGTAGGGACATGGATGAAATTGGAAATCATCATTCTCAGTAAACTATCGCAAGAACAAAAAACCAAACACCGCATATTCTCACTCATAGGTGGGAATTGAACAATGAGATCACATGGACACAGGAAGGGGAATATCACACTCTGGGGACTGTGGTGGGGTCCGGGGAGGGGGGAGGGATAGCATTGGGAGATATACCTAATGCTAGATGACACGTTAGTGGGTGCAGCGCACCAGCATGGCACATGTATACATATGTAACTAACCTGCACAATGTGCACATGTACCCTAAAACTTAGAGTATAACAAAAAAAATAAAAAATAAAAAAAAAATAAATGCATGAATACCCAAAAAAAAAAAAAAAAAAAAAGAAGGCATTTCAGCATGCAAACAAGTAATACTTTTAGGAATTACACTGACTTCATTGTAATGCATAGGAAAAATAAATAATTCACAAATTGCAGGTCTTCAATTATTATTACTAAAAAATTACTCGCAACAAACCTCACAATTTAGTGTGACACAAGTGTATAATGATACTGTGGTTGAAAACTGCATCCCTGATATGTTTATTCTCCAAAACATATTTTTTAAAATTTTCTACATTTAATTACCACTTAAATTTTCTGGCTTATTTCTTTCATTAATCCCTGATATCCCCAGTAAATTATGACCTCTTTGAGAGAAACAACTAAGTCCTGTGATTATTTTTAACTCTCCAAAATATCCAGAATATGCCAGGCACATAAAAACAATTAATAAACATTCCCTGAATAGAGCTGAACTATCAATGAAATAATAGTAATATTAGGGTAAGGCTTTCCTGTTTATAAAACCCTTCCATCAAGTCATCAGGCTTCTTCTGAAGGTACACAGAAGAGAATCAGAGGTCCCATTACAAGAGATATATTCACTGTGATCCAGCTAGGTTTTTTGTCCTATGTCTCCTCAGACAAGACATGGATGGCAAAGTTTTCTAGAATCATGAGTATAAAATTAGAAGCATCTAATGAAATAGCTAGATTTATTCTGTTTTACTAGACTCCCTGGTGCATTCTAACAGGGTGCCTGTGTTTGCTTAAAAAAGATCTTATCGCATCATCCAGACCAAACTCTATTAACATGTAAATGAAATTGATTCTGTACACTGAGAACACAATGCTTACCTTGCAATATAAGCCAATTTTTAATAAAGAAGAGGATAACTGATGCAAATTTCTCAGTGTGGATTTCCAAGATGAAAATAAAGTAACTTATCTACCAAGCTGGACAAAGTGTAAAAAGCTTGAGCAGGAACAGGAACACTCAAGGTTAAGTGTGGTATGAGTAAGGACACTCTGTAAACGTAAATGATAAGGAGAAAAGAAGGCATTGATATATGCTGTATCTAGGATAATTTTCAAAATGAAGGATTCATGTTCTTGTTTTTTTTTGTTTGTTTGTTTTTGGTTTTTTTTTGAGACAGTTTTACTCTTGTCCCCCAGGCAGGAGTGCAGTGGTGCGATCTTGGCTCACTGCAACCTCTGCCTCCTAAGTTCAAGTGATTCTCCTGACTCAGCTTCCCAAGTAGCTGTGATTATAGGCATGCACTACCATGCCCAGCTAGTTTTTGTATTTTTTGGTAGAGACAGGGTTTCGCCATGTTGGTCACGCTGGTCTTGAACTCCTGAACTCAAGTGATCCACCTGCCTCAGCCGCCCAAAGTGCTGGGATTACAGGTGTGAGCCACCATGCCTGGCCATATGTTCTTGTCTTTTAGATCTGAGAAGTTGCACTGCCTTCCTTTTTGGTGCCTCCTAGCAGAGAAGTTAAGAGCATGAGATTCGGAGCTAGACAGGCCTGCCTATGGGTATTCAGTAAATGCTAGCTACCATTCTTACTATAGGGAGGAGAAACTCTCAGTCCCCTCCCCTTACCCTGTTTCCCAGTGATGAAGTTGCTGTAGGGGGTATACTGGGTCATGGCTTCCTAATGGGCAGGAATCACTCTGTGATCTGTGACCTTTCTTCTCTGGCATGCACATTGGTGGGTGAATACACTGCCCAGAGAGCTGGCTTTGCCTGCTCTCTGCAGGGTAGATGAGTTGAGTCCAGGGACTGTTCTACAAACAAACTAGCTAGTTCTACTTCTCTACTTCCTACATATTTCTAATAAGATTTCAGACCCTAAGTTCTGAAAGAAGGGCAGTACTTATTAGGCTTCAAGCTCAGGACCTAAACAGGGAAAAAGAGAAATGGATGTAGGACAGCATTTGTGTCACTGGGTCACTGGTCATACCATTTAACAGCATCAGGATCCTACTATGACCCAAGTTCATTATTGTTGTTGTTATTTTTATTTTATTGTTATTGACCTTGAAGTGAGGGAGCTCAACTGTATGGTCCTACAAAGGTTTTCCATTGTCCTAGGCATAAGTGAAGACACTCGCCTGTGCTTCAGGTCTTGTCTTACCCACATGTCTTGCCTTGTGGTTCATCTTTTCTATTATTTCAAGTGTTCTCTGTTGAATGTCAGGTACCATACTAGGCACTTTCATACATTCCTTCTTTTTATCTTCATATTAGTTAATTAGTCTTTAATATTCATCTTGAAATTAATTATCTCCATTTTATATAAGAGAAAATGAACAATCAGAGAGGTTAAGTATCTTGTCTAAAACCAAACAGGTCATAAGTGGGAGACACAGATCTGAAATCCAAATCTTTTTGATACCAATGAGTATGCTTCCTGCTAATGTCCCTACTTTACCATTCCCACCATAAACCTTTTAATAACTTCAAGTGCATGAGATCAAGGTCATAGGTCCAATCTTCTGTATGTACTTAAAGCTCCCTCATCTGTTCATTTAATTCTTTGTTCAAACCACCACCAGGACGTAGCTACCCCCAGCTCATTAGAAAGGTTTCTCTGATCTGGACCGTTTCCTCATGGCTAAACATACGTCAGATATCTGAGGAAGTAATCATCTCTGTCTGAAAATCAGAACCTCTGAACTTTCAGAGCAGGCCTCAGTTGGGCACTTGTCACCCAACTGCCCCCTCTTGTCACTTAGTGTTTAATACTAACCCTCGTGAAAACACAAGTTTCAAGTTTAGAAGAAATATAGCTTTCTCATGGCTAAAATCCTGGGCTTGCTGAGAGTTGGCAGTGTGTAACCCTAGGGCCTCTTTTTCTCTTTTTTGTTTCATTAAAAGGAAGAAAAAAGCATTCCAATACCTTAGTGTGATATTGGAAAAGGCTTCTTTTACCTTTGGCAATTTTTCCAATTGTCAGAAAGAGCATCTGTTGTTTGTGGTGTTAGTAATACCTCTTACTCTCTCTGGCATGTTGAGAAAGCCAGAAGTGAAAATACAAGATGTGGCTAAGCAGAAGGAAGAATGGTCTACTTTGGGAGCAAGATAAATGATAAGACACTGGATGTTGTGAATCTCTGTTGGTACAGTCTTGCAGTCTGAAAGGATCAAAGCTGGGTCTTCACTTCAAAGAATAGCACCAGGCTAGTGAGTTTGACTCCATTTTGCTAGAACATTTCTTTAACAATTCCCTTTCAACCACCATTGTAAACTGTCATCTTCCGACCTCAGTTCTCTCAGTCGAAAATAAATCTTAGAGGGAAATCCCAAAGACTATTCAAGCTTTTATCAGCTAGTAGGGATTCTTTTTAACCAGAACAATTTCATTATAAAGTTTGTTATGAGTTCTTTAAAGAGAAAACCAGGATTCCTAGAGAAGGCTCTATCCATATAGCACACACATCTCCATCTTCCCTGAAATCAATTGAGCAGTGGGCTGCAGGTATTTTCCAGAGAATTAAATAATCACCCAGAGCAAAAAAGATTCTAAGTTGTCAGATGAGTTCAGTGAACATGCAAGAAACACTATCCCAGCCAACACCAGGCCTCCTCCTGTCAGTCTGAAGATGGAGAAAAAAAAAGTTTTGAAAAAGCATCTTTGACCTCACCATAGGATACAGCCCCACTGCCCAGAAGACCCTTTTCTTCCTTCTTTACCAGGCTATCCTTCCTCATCCTCTAAGACTCAGGTAAGGCCTCACTTCCAAGGTTGTGTGGAATGCCCCCCTTCTGTGTCCCCATGCAGCACTGTGCTTTCCTTTAACACAACACCACACCATGCTGTCATCACCAACCCATCTGTGCCCTCTGTCTCTCCCATTAAATACAAGGGTGGGGCCAGGGGGAAACTATGGCATTTTTCTCTGTATCAAAAGTGCCAAAGTGAAAGCCTGGAATGAATGGATTAGTAGAATGGATGGAATGGATAAACAAATGAGTGAACAAGTGAATGAGCAAAGGAATAACACAGCCTTGGGATACAGATTTGGAGGTCTGCTCTGGTCTTGATCAGCCCAGATGTCAATGGGCTTCTTTACAGCAAGAACAGTAGCCCAAGATGATAATTTCCACTTTCAACTTTCACTATATAAGAATATAACTCCCAACCTTCTTCCCCTAATTCTGATATAACTGACCACCATGCTCCCAACACCCCAGTGTAACCTCTCCCTCTTCCCTTATTGACATGTGCCTAGACACAGGCTCTACTCCTAAGACACATGGTCTGCCCATAGCAAGTTGCCCTGAAAAGTTCCACTTCCCTCTGGGCAAATCTCACCTGATATCACAAGTTGCCACACTTCACCCAGCAGGACCCAAAGGACCAGACCATCCAAAAAATCTTCAACTTCAGAAACCAGGAGATAGAAGGGAGGACAAGTGAGGGATAGAAATATCTAAAATAACCAGAAGTCCAGAAGCACTCCTCATGCCCCCAGGACAGAATATACCACTGGACTAAAGCCACAGAAGGTAAAAAACACATTCTGGGATGAATTACAACTACTCCATGGCTTCGGAATTTGAACCCCAAATCTCATTTTCAACCATTTGCACACTTTGGTGTGCTATTTGCCTAACACACTAAAAAACTTGCTTGCTTTTTGTTTCTCTCAAAGTTTCTCATGGTATGTTTTTACCCAGACCACATAGACTGTGAGGGAGATACAGGGGGAAGGAAGAAAGAAAGATCCACAACTACCACCACTGATTGAGAGCCTGTGGGGTCACAATTGCTCTGTTGAAAGATGTGAAGATGCAGGTAACTGGAACCCAGAGGTCACCAATAAACAATTTAAACCTTCAACTCAAATCCTGCAACTAATAAGCCAGCTGTCAAATCACTAGTCTGAGCCTGGCCCAAAAGAGAAAGGATACCTTAGAAGAAGGGGCCCAGAATAAGTATTGCTAGTCATACAGCAGCTGAGGGGTTTTAAATCATTACTGTCTTTGCCAATATGCTGGGGACTCCTGAAATTGTGTTAAGATAATATCAGTCTGTGTTTTTTATCCACAAAAGCCATCAAACCACTAAGATACGGAATAGGAGACAGGAAGGCCTTTTCAATCTGACCAAATGAGGTTAAGAGGATTCATTTGACCGATACCCACCAAAAGAGATTGCATTCAGTAAAAGTCGGCTTTCTGTACATTTTACACCTTCAGTGCCTCTGAGCAATTCTTACAGGTACACATTAATAAGTAAAAGTCATCAAGATCAGAAGTAAAAAGGAGCAGATTCAGAAAGCATCATTCCATTTTGGAGTTATTACATTTTAGTGGAAGCTTTTTTTTTTTTTAACTGTAGTACTTGAGGCAAGTCCATACACAGGATGGTAATATTCTCAAATCACACAGCAGAGAATTCAGAAAATAGCGCTTGTGTTCTAATAAAGTCATTACCATATCCTAAGGCAGTGTAAAAACACACAATACAGTTATGCACATGTTATTACAACAAACTGGGTCACTGCAATCACTCACCCAATGCTCAGATGAAAAGACCATTATCAACAAGAAGCTGGGGAAGAGATGAAATCAATTTCCCAGGATCCAATCCATGAGCGCAGAGTGTGTGGAACACAGAAAAGAAACTCTCCAGGCCCTGGTGGGATGGTCAACCTGTGCCTTAGGAATTTTGGTCTTCTCTCTCCTGTCTGAAAGCTTGGAGGCAATAGAAATCAACCATGGGAACTTGCCTTGCCCTAAGCTCAGGAATGATTTCAGTGCCTGTCTTATGCATTTGATTTCTGACATGTGTGTACTGCCTCAGCTTTGCTGATTGCCAACAAAATGTTTATCTGCACATTTATTGAGTGAGGTATAATTCCAAGGAAGGGCTCAGTTATTGTGAAGCTCATTTTACTCTCTTTTGCAAATATTAACATAAAGAATAGACCATATGTTCCCCTCTCCTTGCTTACTTCTATTTCAATTTTTTGAAGATGTTCTGTACAGGTAGATAGGGGATGGTGAAACGTGTTCTGGAGAGCAATAAGGCAGGAATGTGGCAAGTTGGTAGGAACTATAAAATGGGGTTCAAATAGAAACTTCACAACCATGTGGTTTGCTTTTTGTTTTGTTTTGTTTGTTTGAAATGGAATCTTGTTCTGTCGCCCAGGCTGGAGTGCAGTGGCACCATCTCGGTTCACCGCAACCTCTGCCTCCCAGGTTCAAGCCATTCTCCCACCTCAGCCTTTCAAGTAGCTGGGATTACAGACACGTGCCACCACACCCAGCTAATTTTTGTATTTTTAGTAGAGATGGGGTTTCACCATGTTGGCCAGGTTGGTCTTGAACTCCTGACCTCAAGTGATCTGCCTGCTCGGTCTCCCAAAATGCTGGGATTACAGGCATGAGCCACTGTGCTCGGCCAAAACTTCACAACCATGTGGTTTTTAAACAATTCATATTTTCATGTATTTATAGCTATCTTATCAAGAGAGGTTGGTCAATAGATACAAACATAGAAGGAAGAAATTCTAATGTTCGATAGTAAGGCTGGGTAATTATAGTTAACAATATATTTTATATTTCAAAATAGCTAGAGGAGAGGACTGGAAATGTTCCCAACACATAGAAATGATAAAGACTCAAGGTAATGGGTACCCTAAATACCATGACTTGATTATTATACCTTCTATGCATGTAACAAAACATCACATGTGCACCATAAAAACATGTGCAAATATTATGTATCAAGTTAAAATCATAGAAAAATGAACTTTCTTAACAATAATTCCAGTTAATATAGATACAACTCATCCTTCTCTCCCAAACACACATGTTCTTATTCAAACCAGTAGATTAGGAAACAGGAGATACACCTATGTCAGGGGGTATCAGCAGGAGATGAACAGGACCTCAAAAGGTCCCAACCACATTGGGTCTCTATGTTCCAGGTCCCACTCAGGCCTGAGAAACCCTCATTTACTAAAGGAGATGTGAGACTGAGTTGAATGCTATAATGCATTTTATCCGGTTTATTCATTAACAACTAGAAATATTAGCCAACACCAACCAGAACATTCATGTTAGCTGCAACTGCTACCTTACACATACCCCACATACCGAAAATAGCTCTTCTCTTTAGGATGATGGAATTAGTCCTCATCACTTGTTTTTTTGTTTTTGGGGTTTTTGTTTTGTTTTGCCCTTTTCTTCTCCTTGAGGATTATTATTAAAATTTAACTCTGGGAGCATTAACAGTATTCTATAAGCACATAATAAGTGCTGAATACTTATTGCAAGAGCCTTATTGAGTGGGAAGAGATAAAACAAGCTATCTAACTTTCTGAATCCATAATTTTCTGACCAGAAAGCAAAGGTTGTTGAGAAAAGCTTTTTTCTTTTAAGACAGTATTTTGCTCTTGTTACCTAGGCTGGAGTGCAATGGCACAATCTCGGCTCATTGCAACCTCCGCCTCCCCAGTTCAAGTGATTCTCCTGCCTCAGCCTCCTGAGTAGCTGGGATTACAGGCAGGCAGCACCACGCCCAGCTCATTTTTGTATTTTTAGTAGAGACGGGATTTCACCATGTTGGCCAGGATTGTCTCAATCTCTTGACCTCATGATTCGCCCACCTCAGCCTCCCAAAGTGCTGGGATTACAGGCGTGAGCCACCATGCCTAGTTGACACTTTGCATATAGTAGTAAAGAAAACAGACAAGGATCTCTGCCCTAATAGAGTTTGTAATCTCCCAGGGAAAGGCACAAAATAAATTTAATAAATAAATTAACTGTATAGTATGCTAGAAAGTGACCAGGGCTTTGGGGGAAAAGAAGTAGAACAAAGTAAAAGTAGTGGCAAGCATGTAAACAGGGGATAGGTAAAATTTTAAATTGCATAGTTAGGAAAGACCTCATTGAAAAGGTAAGCTTGAAGAACGTGACGAAATTAACATTCTGGTGTCCAGAGAACTCCCTGTGGGAAGACCATTTCAAGCAGAAGGAACGGACAATGCAAAGATCCTAAAACAGGAGTGATCCAGAATATTCATGTAACATTGAGAAAGCCAGTATGGCTGGAGCCCAGTGAGAGATGAAGAGGGTAGGAGATAAGTTCAGAGGAATAACAACCACATCATGTAGATGGGTCCCACAGGCCATTATAAAGATACTGATTTCTACTGTGAGTGAAATGGGGTGTTGTGAGTTTTAAGCAGGAAAGCATGATGACTGAATTTCTTCCACTATAATAAAATTACCCTGGCTTCTTTACTGAGAAGAGACTGTGGAAGTGGGAATACCAGTGAGGAAACAACTGCAGGAATCCAAATTAGAGAAAAGGAGACTGACCAGAGTATTAGAGAAGTAGTGAAGATAGTGGGATTCTAAATTTCTATTGAGGAAAGACTCAATCAAAGTAGCTGATGGATGAATGTGAGATGAGAGAGTCCAGGAGGCTTCCAAGGCTCCTGATTTGAGTGACTTAGAGAATGGAGTTACCTCTGATGCCTCTTTTTCAAGAGGTTCTTTAGCCCTCAAATATAAGATACAACTAGGGAATATTCTCCCTTACCTGAACCTTTCTTTTGGAGAATTGGGATAAGGTCGAATAGAAAGGAGGAGTGGGGTGTATAGTTCCTCTGCTCCAAGCAGAATTTGTTTCTTTATCACTGATTATAGGCTCTCTGAACTTGCAGTCTTCCAGGAAGTGGTCATCCTCTGCCAACAATAATGAAATGGCGGATTTTCTGCTTCAGGAAGTCCCTGGCCCTTGTTTCAGAAACACTCACACGTTAGGGGTGGATGATGCCACCTCCAAGTTTGGTGGCCTTTGCAGTCTCCCTGGACAACGCTCTGAAATGTGAAGTCAGCCAATTGCACTGTCTCCTCATCCCTGGCAAGGGCTTGGTGACTATTCCAAATGGTTTGAAGGTCGTCTTCTTTTTTTTCTCTCACATTATGCCCATGAAGCCCAGGGAACAGAAACCTATTTATGTTATCACAGCAGCCTGAGCCTGCATGAAAGCTTTCCTAGCAATGAGTTTTAGAGGCACTTGTAAACTACCCACTTCCTTCTAATCATAGCCTCTATCACAGTGGCTGTGATTTAGGTAAGGAGTGCTTTGTTTAATTAAAGTCAAGGAAGTGGCCCAATGTGCAAAGAAGAGCTGCTCTGCTTAAAGCACAGGTCCCGTCTCCTTGGCCTCCTGCCTCTCACCATCCTTCCCCATTCACTAGGTCCACTGAAATGTCCTCTAAATAGGCACTGAGGAAAAGTTAGGGTTCTGTGGAACAGAGTGAAAAGCAATGCACTGTGGCTTTCTGTAAGAACAATAGCACACACAGGTAGCCACAGTTCATTCCCCTTCCATTGTGTCAGGCTTGAGAAACTTAACTTGCAGCCTACAGTTTGCCATATTTCTGGGTAACTATTAAGTGTACCCACGCTCTCCATCACAGCACTACCAGCATTGTCTGCCAGAGCAGATGGACAGATTCCAGCAAAAAGTCATGTAAACTATCTCACAACATCCCTATTGTATGTCCTTCCAAAGTGTGCCTCTCAGGAGGGCATGTTTCAGCCAAAGTTTAAAGGTTTCATTTTTTAAGACAACAAAATAGAACTCCAGGAAAGCCTGTATTTTCTGGCCTATAGGAGGGTCATCGAATTTCCTCACCATTTTCTGCACTATAAAAATGTATTTCTCTGACGGTGTGCCAAGGCTTGGAACTGTAGAAATGACACTTGGTGGTCAAGGAGTCTAGCCAGGGATGATAGAGTTGTCTCTTTGGCTTCTCAGTGCCCAAAACTGTGTGGATTCAAGATCAACTTCTCAGAACCTCCTTTCTTGGCACCTTCTTTAAAGACTAGTTGACCCCACTAAACTAGTCTTTAGTTTAGAAAAAGGCTTTAATTGGAATCCTCTTCACTTCTGAGCTGCTGCATGTAATTGATGAAAGCCGAGAGCCCTCTTTCCACTTCTGGGCTGTTCTGTGCCAACTGAGCCCTAAAGCAGATTTGCCCATGCCCAGAGACTCACTGAGACTCTCACAGAAGCTGCTTCTTCAGCTTCTGACTCTAACTTCTCTTGCTATAGGGACTCAAAATTGATCCGACTCTAACATCTTTTGCTATAAGGGCTCAAAATTGATCCAAATTATCTACCTCTTTACTCTCTTAAGATTTTCTTGTGTCCCTTGCCTTGTACCTTTACAGAAATGTCCTTTCTCTCTTGCCTGAAAAGTGGGAGGAAAGGTCCTCATGTCTGTCATTTCATGAAAATAGACCCAAGGGAAGATGGGCTTGGCTGCCAGGACACAAGACCAACCTGTGCTTAGGCTCAAGGTTTGAGTGGCCCTTGGCTGAGCCTAACACAGGTTGGTCTAGGGTCCTGGCAGCCAAGGATGCATACAGATGAGGAAACTGACCACCATCCCATCACCAAGAGGCTTGCCCAAGATCACAAAAGTCATCAGTGACAAAGCTGACATTAGAACATATGTACCTTAATTCTCTATCTAAAGGGCATAAACTCTCTGAGAAAAGGTGATAGATATTCTTTAAAGGTCAAAATATCTTATTGTTTATAAGAATTAAGTATAATCCATGGCAAATGATATATTTATCAAAGGAAAAAAATACTTGTTCTAGAGAGATTCTTTTTTCAGCCTGCTAGTGACTTTCATCCTTTATTATGAATTAGCTCAAAGACATGTCCCTACACCTAAAATGCATTAGCCATAAAAGTAAGAGAATAGGCTGAGTGACAGAATCTCTCCCAAACCCTAAGCTGCACAGGGGAGGGGATGGATGGGCTGTGTGCACCTGTAGAGTAAAAATGAAAACAGCACATTTACAAGGCTTATGTAACAGCTTCTCAGAGGTTAAAAACTGCTCCCGGTGGCATTTTCTGAACTCATAGTCAGCTCAGCTACTGCGGCTGTGGTTTTCACTTATGAGGGTCCTCAGAAAGGACTCAGTTATTATTGCTTGTACTTCAGAGCTAAATTATCTTACAGTGCACCCAAGTCAGCAAAGCTGTTTTTCAACCAAATTGCAAACAATCACTTCTCACAGCAATTTTTCTGTGAGTTTCCCTGTCTGCATAGACAATGGGTTTCAGCTTCAACCCTTATGCATGAATATGGCAGTTACTGTTAAAACAGACCAGCTCTCTGGCTGGAAGTCAGGAAGGCACTAATATTGAGGATATTGTGCTGCCCAGATTCAGGAAAGAAATGTGACAGCTTGAAATTACAGCAGAATAAAAATGGTGGAGAATCTGAATGGGTACAGGTCTTTTAGAGGAGGGCATCTTACAGGTCTCTATATTTCCATTTATTTCTTACAGAAGGCCTGGATAAGGAGGAGGCTGGAAGTGAAGGAAAAGTGGCATAAGACAGGATAGGAAAAAGTAGACCCTGAATCTTTTGTTTTATTTTGTGTGGTCTTAGTCCATGGAAGAACAAAATTCCTGGACTCTGAGAATGACAAAAATTATTTACCTTCATATTACGTGACCACTTACCTAGTAAGACATGCTTTATGCAAAGCCAATATTAGACTTCCCTTTAAAACAATAATGAAAACAATAATAATAATAATGCAGTGCCACACTGTGATTTACTGTCAGATGCTCCACTCTCTAATCCTTTGCCCTTTCTCTGTCCAAAAGCACCAACCACCTTTTTCTGTCTCTAGGAAAGGAAAGTTTCCTCATTATCTGAAATGTAAATAATAGACTTAGATAAGCACAGAACCTGAAAGGCATGTGCTGCACCCAACATCTCCGTCAGGTTATATCTGCTTCTACTCACCACTGTATCCTATACACAGAGTAGGTGCTCAAGAAAAATTTGTTGCAAGGATCAATGAACCACACCTTTCTGTATGTACTGCCTTCTTGAACTTGGTTCGTCAATGCCTGACCTTTTCTCCAACTCACCAAGGCCATTTTGGCAGTAGAGATTTGAGTGAGTGCTGGAGCAGGGCAAGCTTAGTCAAGAAGTCTGCACCATCGTGGTAAAAAATGATTAGGGAGCTCCTTTCCGGGTAATTTTAGGTTGTCAAACTGATATATCAATGAGGCAAGTAAATTTACTGACAAGGAAAACATCTCATAATTAGCAGGATTCAAACCTGCACAGAGAGAAACCAACGAATTTCTAGCTCGTTGCCTTAACCACTCAGCTACAACTCACTGAGACCATTTTAGGTCCCACACTTGTCTGTCAAAGTGCAGCGAACACATTGGCTGACTCAGCATCACTTTACTATTCTAAAAGAACTTCAGCTCCAGCCACTATTCTATCTATATCAGAAAGTCTCTGCTGCTCAAACCAGATCAAAGTGACCTCTCTCCTCTGATCTTATCATGTAGACCATGCAATTGTGACTTATATGGCCTCATTTTATTGTATAGATTTTCAGACATGTTTGCCAATTATATTATAAATATCTTGCAAGAATGGACTGCATTTTATATATCTCTATGTCCTACTCAATGTGCAAACTGTAGCAGGAAGACAGTAACTATTTGTAGACATCAATCAATGAAAATGCATGTTATTTCAGTATTCCTGTTAGGTTTTAAATGCTGAATGGGACTTTGAGTTCTAAGCAGCAGTACTTGATAGAGCCCTAAAAGCAAAAAAAAAAAAAAAAAAAAAGTAATAATAATTGTTTTGCTCATCCTAACAGTTGTGAAAAAAATTGTTTTGCTCATCCTAACAGTTGTGGGGTCTAGTTGAAATGACATTTGTGAAAAATATCACTAGTCAATATATATCAACATAAACCAGGGCCTAAGATAAATCAGGTTACAGGCAAGAAAAATTAACAAATATCAAAAATGTGGTCCTCAAAATGAATTTGATTTTTACCAACAAATTGATCCATCAGGTATTAGGCACTGTGGTTTTTTTTTTACTGTCTATGCTTTATTTTATGTGCATATTACCTAGAGGATGCATTTATGTCTCTTTCATCCAAAGCTTCCAAAAGGTGGCACCCATCATCATCATCGACATCAACAATAAAAACAACAACAACTATACCAAATTATTTATTGTTCCTGGTATGGGACTGGGACATGCAAAAAGAAAACGAGGCAATCCTGATTCCTGATCCCGTGAGAAGCTACACAGACAGCCATGCTGGTCGGAAGGCTCTTTATGAGGATCGACAATTAGCCAAATCTGAACCAAAACCCATCTTGTGAATGAAACATAGGGCACAAAGTTATGGAGTTGTTGGTGAAAAAAGTACTTATAGGAAATATGGGCTATAATTCCAATTTCGCCCCTAACCACTTGAGGGATATTATGCAAGTCATTTAGAAGCCCTGGCCTCAGATTCTTAACTTTTAAAACGTAAGAATTTGGACTATATGAACTCTATGTTTCCTCCAAACTCTAAAATTTAAACAGAGGCCAGTTCTTTGTCAGGTATCACTCCTTGTGCTGCTGTTAACAGAATAACGTAGTGATGACAGTCCACGTAATAGATGTAGACACACCTGGATTCAAATTCTGGCTCCATCACTCACTAACTTGGGCAAATCATTAATCTCAAGAAGCCTCAGTCTGCTAATATGTAAATAAGCCCAATGATATTTTTTAGGGATATTATGAAGATTTTAAAAAATAGCCAAGTTACCTTGCACGTACTTGGCACTCAGTAAATATAAAAATTGTTGTGATGATTTTTCCCTCTCAGGTTGAATGCATAAAGCAGACTCTCGGGATCCTTTAACAATGAACATACAAAGTCTGTTAGACTCAGAGGAGATTTGAAAGATTCTCAGATTCCTGGGTGTCTGACTCCTCAGTCAGAGGATCGAGAATTCACCTGATGGCAGCTCAGAGGCAAAATGTGGGGAAAATTTGTCACTACATTAAGCCCTCCCCAAATTTCCCCTGAGATATTTAACATCAAGATCCAGACATGACTTGCCTTATACCAGTTTTTCATGTGCCATGAATCAAGGAATACCAGAAAGTCCCAGCTTCCTAGAATATCTTCCCAACCGTCTCCACAGTGTGTGAAATTTCACTATTAGAGATTTGCTTCTTAGATAAAGGCACAAAAAATCCTTTCCAGACACCCTCTTTTAAAATACAATTTCTTTGAAAACCAAACACCACATGTCCTCACTTATAAGTGGGAGCTGAACAGTAAGAACATATGGACACAGGGAGGGGAACAACACACACTGGGGGCCTGTCAGGGGGTGAGGTTGGGGGATGGGGAGCATTAGGAAAATAGCTAATGCATGCCGGGCTCAATACCTGGGTGATGGGTTGATAGCTGCAACAAACCACTATGGCACACATTTACCTGTGTACCAAACCTACATATCTTGTATATGTACCCCAGAACTGAAAAATTAAAAATTAAATAAAATACAGTTTCTTTGGAGAGTGATAAGTGAGCAAGCTATTGGCAATTAAGCATATAGGGGTCATTATAGGATAAGAAGATTCAGGGAGAAAGAACAAGGGGAGATGTAATGATAAACTTTTCTAACTTCATAGTTCTGACAATTGCTGTGCCTGGATGCAGGTGCTGTGTGTAGAAGGCATATCTTATTGGAAATATCCATGGGAGGTGATTGGCGCCAAAGGACCCTTCATACACAACTTCCTCTACTTTCCACCTGAAGGGTTCCCAGTGTCCAGGCCACATTGTCTGTGGGCATCTGTATCCCTAACTATTGTAGAAGTGTCTTCCTGGCCTTCTTCATGGAACTCACACAGCTTTCTGTATACCTGGTCTGGGCTCTGTGCCATCACCTGCCAGGCCTTTCCAAAAAAATGTTGAGAGAGGCTAAGGAGGATGGTAAGGACAGGAGGCTGACAGCCTGACAGAGAGGGCTAAATACTTATCAAAGGGTTCTGAATGCCACAGTTAATTAGAAAAGGCCAAAAGTTCCTCCACTAAAAGAGCGAAGTTTATAACTCTAATAATTTATACATGGGCTCACTTTCCCTGAATAATTACAGATTATTATCCAGCTAATTACAGTACATGGTATTAAAAGATCTGAAGTTTATTACTCCAATCTAGGAAATTATTTTGGCACATGCTTTGAAAAGAAAAATCCTGGAAGAGCAGTTTAGGTCTTGCCAGGGTAACATACTGCAGTGGTTCCATGCTTTCTTCCCAGCATGAGATAGTTTATATTGTCATATAACCTACAGATGTCCTAAAATGTGAATTTCAACATCTTAGCCCAAAATGATTTTTCTCCCTAAATAGGGTTGCCAAATTTAGCAAATGAAATCATAAGGTCTTTTTCATTTGCTCAGTTAAATTTGAATTTTAGATATATACTAAATAATTTTAGTGTAAGTATGTCCCAAATTTTACAAGATATACTTCCACTAAAAAAATTATTTCTTGTGTATCTGAAATTCAAATTTAACTCAGAGTCCTGTATTTTATCTGACAGTCCTATTCCTGAGGGAGATCTGAAATAGCAAATAATGCTGAGGAGAGACAAAAGTGGAGGTTCAATGAACAGCATCTCAGTGTCAAAAACTGGGGGATCAAACTTCATACAAAAATATTAATCATCAACAGGACAATGTTCACCACTGAGAGAAAAATGTCCATGGAAATTCTCAAATATGAGCCTTCACTTCCAATTCAAAATGGCTATGGGTGAACTATAGCATTCCTATGTGGATATAATCTTTGCAGGGTCCTTGACTGTTTCCACCAAGAATCTTTTCATATTCGACAAAGAGGGAAAGGAAAAAAAAGTATGAACTGTACTCTCTTGACATGGGAGCTCACATCCAAATCCCACAAGTACCCCACCTCGCCTACTGATTCTTTTTAGGATGACATCCCTATTTATTTATATAAATTATTTCCAGCCATCCCACTATTTTAGTGGGAACAGAATTTGTCAGGCTGATGTTAAGATAGACATAGGGAGGGGTTAAGAGATAGAGAGGGATAAATGAAGCATTTTCTAATTAATAAAGATGAAAGTAGCTACCTTATTTTTTACTACAAAATAACTTTTAAAATTACTGGGACTAATACACTTGAAAAGAAATATAGTCCAATAAAGGACAAAACTATATGGTATTGACCAAAAGTACACTAAAATTTCAAAGAACAACGTTAGTGTGAGCTGTATGTAATCCAGGTAGTTTAAAGATCCCTTCATTCAGCAAATATCCATCAAGTACTGTATTAGTCAATTCTCACACTACTATAAAGAACTTCCTGAGACTGGGTAATCTATAAGGAAAAGAGGTTTAATTGTGCTCAAGGTTCTGTGGGCTGTACAGGCTTCTGCTTCTGGGGAGGCCTCGGGAAGCTTACAATCATGGTGGTAGGTGAAGGGGAAGCAGGCAAATATTCACATGGCTGGCAGGAAAGAGAAAGAGAGAAGGGGGACATGCTACCCACTTTCAAACAACCAGATCTCTTGAGAATTCTATCATGAGAACAGCAAGGTGGAAATCCAACCCCATGATTCGGTCACCTCCCACCAGGCTCCTCCTCTGATACAGTTTGGCTGTGTCCCTACCCATATCTCAACTTGAATTGTATCTCCCAGAATTCCCACATGTTGTGGGAGGGACCCAGGAGGAGGTAACTGAATCATGGGGGCCAGTCTTTCCCTTGCTATTCTAATTACAGTGAATAAGTCTCATGAGATATTATAGGTTTATCAGGGGTTTCCACTTTTGCTTCTTCCTCATTTTCTCTTGCTGCTGCCATGTAAGAAGTGCCTTTCACCTCCCACCATGATTCTGATGTCTCCCCACCCATGTGGAACTGTAAGTCCATTTAAATCGCTTTTTCATCCCAGTCTCGGGTATGTCTTTATCAGCAGCATGAAAATGGACTAATATAGTAAATTGGTACCAGTAGAGTGGGGTGCTGCTGAAAAGATATCCAAAAATGTGGGAGGGACTTTGGGACCAGGTAACAGGCAGAGGTTGGAATAGGTTGGAGGGCTCAGAAGATGTCAAGAAAATGTGAGAAAGTTTGGAACTTCTAGAGACTTGTTGAATGGCTTTCAACAAAATGCTAATAGTGATATCAACAATGAAATCCAGGCTGAGGTAGTCTCAGATGGAGATGAGGAATTTGTTGGGAACTGGAGCAAAGGTGACTCTTGTTATGTTTAGCAAAGAGACTGGTGGCATTTTGCCCCTGTCCTAGAGATTTGTGGAACTTTGAACTGGAGAGAGATGATTTAGGGTATCTGGCGGAAGAAATTTCTAAGCAGCAAAGCATTCAAGAGGTGACTTGGGTGCTGTTAAAGGCCTTCAGTTTTATAAGGGAAGCAGAGCATAAAAGTTTGGAAAATTTGCAGCTTGACAATGCAAGAGAAAAGAAAAACCCATTTTCTGGGGAGAAATTCAAGCCAGCTGCAGAAATTTGCACAAGTAGAAAGGAGCCTAATGTTAATCCCCAGGAACTTGGGGAAAATGTCTCCAGGCCATGTCAGAGACCTTCACAGCAGCCCCTCCCATTGCAGGTCTGAAGGCCCAGGAGGAAAAAGTGGCTTTGTGGGCCAGGCCCAGGGTTCCTGTGCTGTGTGCAGCTGCTCCAGCCTGTGTCCCACCTGTGTCCCAGCTACTCCAGCCTTGGCTGAAAGGGACCAACGTATAACTCAGGCTGTGGCTTCAGAGGGTGGAAGCTGCAAGCCTTGGCAGCTTCCGTATGGTGTTGAGCCTGCAGGTGCACAGAAGTCAAGAATTGAGGTTTGGGAACTTCTGCCTAGATTTCAGAAGGTGTATAGAAATGCCTGGATGCCCAGGCAAAAGTTTGCTTCAGGGGTGGGCCCTCATGGAGAACCTCTGCTAGGGCAACGCAGAAGAGAAATGTGAAGTCAGAGCCCCCACACAGAGTCCCTACTGGGACACTGCCTAGTGGAGCTGTGAGAAGAGGGCTACTGTCCTCCAGACCCCAGCATGTTAGATCCACCAAGAGCTTATACCATGGGCCTGGAAAAGCCACAGACAGGCAACACGAGCCCTTGAAAGCAGCCAGAAGAGATGCTGTACACTGCAAAGCCACAGGGGCAGAGCTGTCCAAGACCCACCTCTTGCATCAGTGTGACCTAGATGTGAGACCTGGAGTCAAAGGAGATCATTTTGGAGCTTTAAAATTTGACTGCCCCACTGAATTCTGGACTTGCATGGGCCCTGTAACCCCTTTGTTTTGGCCAGTTTCTCCCATTTGTATTTGGAACTGCTGTATTTACCCAATACCTGTACCCCCATTGTATCTAGGAAGTAACTAGCTTGCTTTTAATTTTATAGGCTCATAGGGGGAAGGGACTTGCCCTGTCTCAGATGAGACTTTGGACTGTGGACTTTTGGGTTAATGCTAAAATGAGTTAAGACTTTGGGGGACTGTTGGGAAGGCATGATTGCTTTTGAAATGTGAGGACATGAGATTTGGAGGGGCCAGGGGCGGAATGATATGGTTTGGCTGTGTTCCCACCCAAATCTCAACTTGAATTGTATCTCCCAGAATTCCCACATGTTGTGGGAGGGACCTAGGGGGAGGTAATTGAATCATGGGGGTCAGTCTTTCCCATGCTATTCTCGTGATAGTCAATAAGTCTCATGAGATCTGATGAGTTTTTCAGGGGTTTCTGCTTTGCTTTTTCCTCATTTTCTCTTGCAGCTGCCATGTAAGAAGTGCCTTTTGCCTCCCACCATGATTCTGAGGCCTCCCCAGCCACGTGGAACTGTAAGGCCAGTTAAACCTCTTTATCATCACATCTCGGGGATGTCTTTATCAGCAGCATGAAAATAGACTAATACATCCTCCAACACTGGGAATTATAATCCAACATAAGATTTGGGTGAGGACACAGAGCCAAATCATACCAAGTGCCTACTGTTGTACTAGGTAGTGTGCCAAGCTTTAGGGTTACAGCAGTAAACAAGACAGGCAAGATCCTACTCGAGAGGCTTAGATTCAAGGGATGGGATGGGGAGGATGGGGAAGACATAATATAGAAAATAAATAATAAAAGGACAAATAAAATAACAAGATTTTTTAAGGCAGTATCTTGCAGCTTTGACATGATCAGGGTCATGGGGACACTCAGGATATAGACAAGACTGATGCATAATACTATGATTTCCCAGCAATATCTCTACGTTCAAGGTCCAAGGTGTGGATATCCACATTCTCTTAGTCACCTCTACCACAGTTTTGCAGAATTCATTCAGTTTAGAGATTGACTCACCTAATGATCCTGTTTTTTTCCCCATCCTGAGTGTTGTGTCATTACAGATGTGGAATACTGTCCCTTTCCATCTCTTTCTATCGCTCTTGCTCTCTCTCTCTCCCTCTACCCCAATTCCACTCTTTCTCCCCCACCTCCCATCCCCCCCGCCACACACACACAAACACAGCCTTTGCGTGTATGGCAAAGTTAACTAAAGGTTTGTGGGAGGGATATAAAGAGAGTTTCTTTCACCACAACACAAACACCTAACACTGAAATTAGACATCTTTGTTCTGAACCATCCTAGGGCACTCTCACATTGCACCTCCTTTTTGGCCTCCCCGTTCCAACAATGTTCTCTTCACAGCTAATGAAAAGCTTTTCATGTCTTTTGTTGTTTTACCCCCCACTAAACCATCACTTCAATGTCTCACTTTTTGTTGAAACATCTTATCAAGATATTTCCCTAAACAGACAATTTCCTCCTTAAGAGAAAGTCTGATGCCAGCTGTTAAGATAATAATTTGTTTCAAGTAGCTACATGGAATAGTAAGAAATCTATATTTTTCTCTAATTTTTCTCTGTTGTTGGGTATATGAATTGTTACACCATGAATTAACTTTGTGAATACTGAAAGTCTGAACGAAACCAAGATACTTTCTTCTTGCAGTCAGTTTTCAAGATCCATTTTGTATCCCACAGACTATCTGCCTGTGCACAATAGGCCTCCAATAAATGTTTGATGAATTTAACTTAATGTAATACAACCTACATGAGCGCCATGGTGAGTGCAGAACAGACATACGATAGTGAGCCAGCACTCAAAAAAGGCAGCTAGTTTATTAACAATAATTTGCCACCAGCCATACTTAGCAGTAGATTATTTTTCATGCTGTTTCTTGATCTTATCATTAAAACATACTCATGAGCTCCCTTTTGAAGCAAGCTCAGGTTAAGATATGTCTCTATTCTCTGAAATTTTACATTTAAAGATATATCACACAGATTGGCTCAAAGGAAATAGGTAATAGAGGCAATCAAGCCAGCACTGGCTAGGTTCATGCATTACCCATGTCTTCTCAATGTATAAAAATGACTATCTCCATACATGTATACATTGTATAATGATCAAATCATGTTAATTACCATATCTATCACCATAAGCATTTATTGTTCTTTGTTGTGAAAACATTCAAAATCCTAGAACATCATTTGGGAGCCTAGAAGGACCATTCCTTAGGAGTAAAGACCACACCCTAGAATAAGGGTTATGCTCTAAGACTAAAGACAACACAAAAATGAACTCACCCTAACAAAGCCCAAAACCAAGCTCGACAGAATCAAGGAATTCCTCCAATAATTTAATTGCCCACCAGAACAAAATTCAACATCCTTTAAAAGAAGACAGCATAATCCAGACTCCTTTCAATATAGTATCCACAATGCACAGCATATAATTAAAAATACTAGACATGTAAAGGGACCCATAATTAAGAGACTAGAAGTCAAAAAAAGGGACCAAAGATAACCAAGATATTAGCATAACCAGAGAAGAAGTTTAAAACAACTATTAGAAATGTGTACAAGGATTTAAAGAAAAAGATAAGTATAATGAGCTAACAGGTAACCTAAACAAAGAAACCGAAGTTATTTTTTAAAAGAACCAAATAAAAATTCTCAAATCAAAAATTTTAATATTTGAAATGAAAATTTCACCAAATGAGCCTAAAGCAGATTAGACTATGCAGAATAAAGAGTAAATAAACTCAAAAGTAAATCAATAGAAATTGATTCTATTTAGTGAATAGAAGAAACAGAGAGGAAACAAAAACTTTTTCTAATTGCCAGAGCTTCAGTTACATTTGGAAAAATATGAAGTGGTCTAACATACATGTAATTGGACACTATGAAGGAGAGGAGAAAAAAATGAGGTAGAAAAGCTATTTGAACAAATTATAGTTGAAAATGTCACAAATTTGGTAACAGAAATCAACCTATGGATCCAAAACGTCTGGCAAAATTCAAGCAAAATAAATACAAAAATAAAACCCTACCTGGATACATCATATCCAAGTTGTCAAAATCCAAAAATAAAAAAAAAAATCTTCGAAGCAGTCAGAACACTGGCACATTATGTATAGAAGAACAATGATAGTAAGAAGTTACCTTTCATCAAATACAATGGAGGGAAAATAAAATGGAATGACTTCTTTAAAGTATTAAAAAATGTTAATTAAGAGTTTTAGATCTGGCAAAATAGCCTTCTAAAAAGACGGTTAATAAATACATTTTCAGATAAACAAAAGCTGAAAGAATTTGTTGCCAGTTCATCTACACTACAGGAAATGCTAAAGCCAAATTAAAGAGATGCAAACTAAACTAGTTTCTCTTCAAACTAAAGAGAAATAATACAAATGGAAACTCAGATCTACAGAAGAGTGCCAGAAATGTCCAATACATGGGTAAATAAAAAACTGTAGCTTTTTCTCTTAATGTTTTATAAGGCAAAATTGATAACATTGTACTATGCAGAATTTTTAACATATGTAGAAGTAAAATCTATGACAACCATAAGACAGTATAGAAATAAATAGAATATATCATTGTAAGGTTCTTGCACTTTTACAAAATTGTAAAATATACATAAAATTTACAATGTTAACTATTTTTAAGTGTACAGTTCTATGGCATTAAGTATCTTTATATTGTTGTGCAGTCATCACCATCATTTATCTCTAGAACTTTTTTCATCTTTCCAAACTGAAACTCTGTACCCAGTAAACACTACCTTCTCATTTCCTCCTTCCTGTAACCCCTGAAAACTACCATGCTGCTTTCTGTTTCTATACCTCATGTAACTGAAATCATGCAGTATTTGTCTTTTGTGATAGGCTTATTTCACCTAGCATGTCCTCAATGTTCATCTATGTTGTAGCATGCATCTGAATGTCCTTCCTTTCTAAGGCTGAATAATATCCCATTGTATGTATATATCACATTCTGTTTTTCCATTCACCTGTCAGTGGACGCTTGAGTTGCTTTCACCTTTTGGCTATTGTAAATAATGCTGCTACTAACACAGGTGTACAAGTATCTCCTTCAAGTTCTTGCTTTCCTTTCTTTTGGATATATTCCCAAAAGTGAAGAGGAATACTCCTTAATGAAAAAGGGCGCGATGATGTACTTAACAAGAGGGCTTCAAAATACATAAAGCAAACATTTAACAGGACCAAACAGAAAAACAAACAAATCCACAATCACAGTTGGAAATTTGCTGACAGAATGGGAAAAAATTCAAGAAAGTTATAGAATATTTGAACAAAATTATTTGCCAACTTGACCAAATTGATATCTAACCCAACAAGTATAAAGTAAATATTTCGTTCAAGTGTGCATGGGATGTTCACCAAGAGAGGCTATATTTCATACTATTAAAGAAGTCTCAGATTTCAGAAGATTAAAATCTTATAAAATATATTCTCTAAGCACAACAGAATTAGAAACCAATGATAAAAAAATAACAAAAATATCAAATATTTGAAAATTAAGCAACACACTTCTAAATAAGCCTTAATTTGAAGAAGTCACAAGGCAAATTTTAAAATGCTATAAACTGAATTAATGTATCAATATAGTCTAACAAAATGTGTGAGGTACATTTAAAATAATGCTTAGAGGGAGCAATATATAAGTTGAAATTCTTGTTTTAAAAAGGAAAGGAATGTTAAAGTTGATGACCTAAGATCTTACCATAAGAAGAAGAAAAAATCAAATTAAATATAAAATAAGTAGAAGAAATAATAAAGTTAAGAACAGAAATTAGTAAAATAGAAGATAGGCAAATTGTAGAGAAAAGCAGCAAAGCCAAAAATGTCTTCTTAAAAAGATCAATAAAATTGAAAAGCTCCAGCAAAAATAATCAAGAAAAAATGAGAGAAAGCACCAATTTTCAATTAGAGAATGAAACAGAAGCTAATACTCTAGACACTATAAAACAGGTATCAAACTATGGTCCATGGGACAAATCCAGTCTCCACCTGTTTTTGTACATCCTACAAGCCAAGAATGGTTTTTACTTTTTTTAATAACTGAGAAAAATATCAAAAGAAAAACAATATTGTATGAAACCTGAAAATTATATGAAATCTAAATTTTGGGATCCACAAGTAAAGTTTCATTGGAACACAGCCATGCTCATTCATTTACCTATTATCTGTGGCAGCTTTCACATGACAAGAGAGGAGTTGAATAATTGTGACAGAGACTGTATGGCTCATTAAGTTTAAAAGATGTACTGCCTGGCCCTTTACAGAAAAAGGTTTGCCAAGCCCTACTATAAACACTAAAAGAATAATGCTTTAATGTTTAAGGATATTTCCTTATCCTTTAGTGATACTACTAAAACTTAATGCCAATAAATTTAACAATTTAAGTGAAATTAACACATCTTTGGAAAGACACAACAACTACCAAAACTAAAACAAACAAACAAAAAACATGAATACATATCAGCTATTGCATTTGTAATTTAAAACTTTCTCTCCAAAAAAACATTTTCAGGCCCAACCTGTTTCATATACTGCATTTAATTCCAGATGGATCGCAGACCTAGATGTGAAGGGTAAAATAAACAATAAAAATAACATCAATGATAGTTTGGGGTTGGAAAAGGGTTTTTAACCAGGGCATTAAAAGTATATGTCAAAGGGATGACATTGATAAATTGAAATTTATTCAAATTAAAAACTTCTGTTCATCAGAAGATGCCATTAAGAGAGTGACAAGGCAAGCCCCAGATGGGAGAAGATATTTGCCACACATATCACTGGCAAAGTGTTTATATCTAAAATGCAAAAAGAACTCCTACAAATCAGTAAGGAAATAATTTTTTTTAATGAGCAAAAGAATTGGTCACTTTAAAAAAGAGGAAAAGCCAATAAACACATGAAAATTGCTCACTATCATTATTTATCAGGGAAACACAAATTAAAACCATAGGGATAAACATCTGTTGTTTGCAGTTTACCATCTATCCCTTGTCCTTCTAGGAGTACCACATTTCCTTTATAAAGCCACCTTTTCTCCATTCTCAGCTGTGTAGCTTGGGTTGGATCCAACTCAACCTGAACACTATGGATGGAATTTGATTGACCCAAGCTGATTAACATATCCATTTCCCAGGCTAAAATGTTTGGTATGAAATGAAATGAAAGTCAGAGCCAGTGAAACATGAAAATATGTTGCTGCAGCTTCAGGTAAAGTAAAACCTCTTCTCTCTGCAACTAGAAATACCATAAGAGACTTTTTCTTTTTTCCTCTATATGATAGAAAGTAACAATCTGCCATCTAGAACTATTACAATCAAAAGAGAAGATCCTAGAGCATCAAGAGGAACAGAGAGCAGAGCACAGCAGAGCAGATAGGGAAAGCAGGTGGGATGGGAGATAAAAGAAAACTTTTCCTTGGTGCCACTATTGAGTGTATCAGGCTGGGCGCGGTGGCTCATACCAGTAATCCCAACACTTTGGAAGGCTGAGGCAGGCAGATCACTTGAGGTCAGGAGCTCAAGACCAGCCTGGCCAACATGGTCTCTACTAAAAATACAAAAATTAGCCGGGCATGGTGGTGGGCGCTTGAAGTCCCAGCTACTCAAGAGGCTGAGGCAGGAGAGTTGCTTGAGCCCAGGAGGCAGAGGTTGTAGTGAGCTGAGATCGGGCTACTGCACTCCAGCCTGGGTGACAGAGCGAGACTCCATCTCAAAAAAAAAAAAAAAAAAAAAAAAGGTGAATCAAATCTCACCTGCAAGCAATGCAAATCTAAACCACAATGCAATACCAGCTCACTCCTGCAAGAATGGCCATAATCAAAAAATTAAAAAACAATTGATGTTGGCATGGATGCGGTGATCAGGGAACACTTCTTCACTGCTGGTGGGAATACAAACTAGTACAGCCACTATGAAAAACAGTGTGGAGATTCCTTAAAGAACTAGAAGTGGAACTACCATTTGTTCCAGCAATCCCACTACTGGGTATCTACCCAGAGGAAGAGAAGTCATCATATGAAAAAGATACTTGCACACTCATGTTTATAGCAGCACAGTTTGCATTTGCAAAATCATGGAACCAACCCAAATGCCCATCAACCAATGAGTGGATAAAGAAACTGTGGTATATATATATACAATGGAACACTACTCAGCCATAAAAAGGAATGAATTAACAGCATTTGCAGTGATCTGGATGAGATTGGAGACTATCATTCTAAGTGAAGTAACTCAGGAATGGAAAACTAAACACTGTATGTTCTTACCGATATGTGAGAGCTAAGTGATGAAGATGCAAAGCCACAAGAATGATACAATGGACTTTGGGGTCTTGGGGAGAAGGGTGGGAGAGGGGCAAGGGATAAAAGATTACAAATAGGGTACAGTGTATACTGTTCGAGAGATGGATGCACCAAAATATCACAAAGCACCACTAAAGAACTTACTTATGTAACCAAATACCACCTGTACCCCAATAACCTATGGAAAAATAAGGAGGGGAGGGGAGAGGGGAGGGGGAGGGGAGGAGGAGGGGAGAGGAGAGAGGAGAGAGAGAGAGGAGAGAGACAGAGGAGAGAGGAGAGAGAGAGAGGAGAGAGGAGAGAGAGAGAGGAGAGAGGAGAGAGAGAGAGGAGAGAGGAGAGAGAGAGAGGAGAGAGGAGAGAGAGAGAGGAGAGAGGAGAGAGAGAGGAGAGAGAGGAGAGAGGAGAGAAAGAGAGGAGAGAGGAAAGATCTCACCTGAAGCTACTCCTACCCCTTATCTTTTCAGATATATCAGCCAATAAATTTCCCTTATTAAATAAGCCATTTTGATTTGAATTTCCATGACTGTGATGTATAGTCCTAATTTGTGATATTGTTATCAGGTTTTAGTGCATCCTAATGTACCAGAGCACATGGTAGGTGTACTACATTTATGATACCTAAACTTCAAAATACTAAGATACGTATTTTGACCTCCATCATACAGATGAGTAAACCAAGATACAGAGATGCAGAGTGGTCAGAAATTAACATTCAAAACATACAGCTGGGTTTTACTCCATAAAGCCTTTAATTCAAGAAAGCCCTTGCCAACCAATCAATAGAAAAGACATCAGCATTTGAGCTGCCTAAGCATGGACTTGGGGAGGTTAACAGTCATGTCATTTATTTCAACATAATATCTAGGAAACATTTTATTATAATTTCAAGTTAAACAGCAGAGAATGAAGAGTTTATCCTCAAAAAAAAAAAAAGTACTTGGTAGATATTCTAAGGGTGTCCATTTTTTTCCTTCCTTTTAAACTTTGTAAGATAAAAACAGCCCAAGGGAAGAAGCAGACTAGAATTGTTCTGCTTTCATGGCTCAAGGAGAGGCATGATCTACCCCAAGATCCACTTAATATAACAGGCGCAGATAGCAGAGACATAAATCACAGGCTTCTCCTGGCTGCCCTAACTGCAGGACAGGAGGACAAGAACCCTGCGGCCCCAGCAGGACCCAGCACTTCCATGTCACTTGTTTACTTTTATCTGCAAGTCCCTCACAAGCCTTCTGTTAATACTGCCTTTTAATGGCCCTAAGTCACTTCTCAACTGGAGATGTTCTATAGTGGCCTAGGAAAAACTATTTTAATGCTCCTTTTGTTAGGAGGGGGCAGGGAAAAAGAAAAGATCAGCTTTTCCTTAAAGATTCTGACAACAGCAAGTGAAGCAGGCTCTGGTGGATTAATTAAAATAGGAAGCTAAACAATACAATGTCCTTCATTGCAGAGTTTCCCCAGCTAGCAAATTGGCACCACCGAGATCTTTTTAAATATTAATAATTTTTTATTTCCAAATTATAAAAATAGTAATTTTTATTATTAAAAATTTGAAAATACAAACAAGCAATAAAAAGTAAAAAGTGTAAACCCCTATATCTCTAATAAAAAATTCAGTAGTTTTCTCTAGATATTTATATACAATATATAGATTATATTATATAAATAATATAGATTGTATTTATACGTAAATATCTAGAGATTCTAGACCTTTATGTATCTATATACATAGATTATATAATCAATATTATATTATAGATTATATATATTTATATATAGATTACATCATCTATATATATACTTTTCCTTGCTTCTTCAACAAAAAAGAATTATACAGTTTTACAAGCTCTTTGCATTGCTTAGCATCTTTCAATAGTCTTTTACATGATATTAATAAAATGTAGGTTGTCCATTACATATATTTTATTATGATAAAACTCAACCAATCCTGTTTTGTTGGACATTCATAGTATTTCCAAATTCTAAGCCTGCTATGTTGAACATTTTATTTCTATACTTGTCAGATTATTTCCATTGGATAAATGCCTAGAAATAAAATTTCTGGGTCAAAAAATATACATTTTTAAGGCTTTGGTACTATTTACTCTCCTGCAAAATTGTACAAATTCACACTTATAAACTCAGTCTTGAAGTCTTATCCAGTAGTTCACCTAGCCATTTACTGCTCTAAATAACCCTTCTCCATCAGGGGTCCTCTGTAGCTTGCCTTAATTCTTAATAGAAGCGGTGAGGGTGAGGGTGAGGGTGGATGTTTATAAACCATTTCTTTATTAAGGAACTTGACTATCAGAACCCACATACACCAGGGAATGTCTCTATATTCTACGCTCCTCTCAGAAAGGGGAAACCCATATTTATTAAACACCCATAAGTATAAAATATGTATAGAACACAATAGACTCCCAATAAATATTTATGAATGAATGAATGCAGAACAGCTGGGATTTAACCCGGATCTATCCTACTCCAAGGCCATTATTGTAGGCATGTCATGGGATTCCTGCCTAACTGGGTCTGAGTCCCCATTCTGGAAATGGCCTGTCATACACAGGGGGTGCCCCACATCTAACTGGGTCAACCAAATTATTTCCTGGGAATTTGAATTAGAGACATCTCAGTCCTCAGAGCCGGACTACATCAATTTCAGAAATCTACAGAGGTCCACCAAGTCCTGCTGCTGAGATTCCCAAAGCTGCCCAATTTCACTGACATTTTGGCTTCCTTTCAGTCCCATAAAATACCCTGGAATCTTCCCATGATTTTTTTTTTTTTTTTTTTTTTTTGGCTTAAACTGGCCTGCATCTGTTTTTATTGCTTGCAACCAATGAACCTGAAGTATTATCCAGAACCTGGACTTTTATCTTAGTTCATGTAACTGCAGGTGACAGCAAGGCCTTATGAAAAGAAAATTAACTCCTCTCATGAAACATCAGGAGCCTCTGTTGTGCAGACCTACCTCAGAAATAGGGACCAGTTGCTTGTGGCAGACTGCTGATAGCAAGGTTCCAGATGTCTTGTTACCAGAAATTCCATGGAAACGTGGGCATGAATTTCAGACATCTCAGAGGACTGTGCCTTCATTGTTCTTTCTCCGTATGTTACAGAAAAACAGTCTGTGTAGCTCTGGATGTGTGGAAAGCTGCAACAGTGGCTAAATGAATTTTCCTATCACACAACCTGGAGAAAGTTAAACTATTTCTTTGAAACACTGTAGGTAGAGCTCACACCTTCTGGAAACTAATTATGAGAACTAGATGTCCTTGAATAAACCTGTCAAAAGTGAAAGCCTTGGGCTATTACTCCTTTTTAATGTTTTATGATTTTTTTAAATGGCTGCAGGTTTATAGAGAATGTAGTTGAAACCACTGGAAACTGGAGAGAAAAATCATTAAGACTTTAAAAAAAAAAAAAAAAGCTATCTCAATGACCAAATCCATCTAATACAGGTTCTTTCTTCCAAACATTTTTTGGCTATGTCCTTTTTCTCTTTTCCATTAGCATTTCCCAAGTCCAGCCTGTATCGTTTGCTCCCAAAATTAAGGTTCCAGTTTCTGCTCTCCAGAGTCTTCCCTCTCCATGTCCATCATTCACAATTGTGCCAGGCCAATCTTTCAAAAATACTGATTTTTCACGCCTCTCTCTTGTTCAGAAATCTACCAGTGAGAGCCTGGTGTATGGTGGGAAATTCCTAGGCTTTGAAGCCAAGAACAAGAGTTTAAATCCTGCTCTGCCAATCATCAGCTATTTGAATCTACATAAATAATGTAACATCTCTGAACCTCAGTATATTCATCTGTAAATTGAGGGTCATAAATACCTTGAAGGTTATTATAAATAAATGGTGTTTTATTTGCAAAGTGCCTGGCTTTCAGAAAACACTCAATAAATGTTGTATCACTTTACCCTCTCTATTAAGCTTAAAATCCTACAAAACTATTCTGCACCACCTCTTCCTGGCCCAGCAAGGCTCTCCATATACTGGCTCCACCCTCCATGTCCAACCATGTGCTCTCCTGAATGAATTATGTGCATGAATTTACAATTAGTCTTCATCCTCACTTTGCCCCCATTGCCACCTCTCTCCCTTTGCTTATGTTCTACATGCACTTCCCCCACTCACATTGGACTTACTCCTGTCCATGCTGCAAATCCTATAAAATCCAGCTCAAGTATCTCCCTCTGCAGGCTCCTTGGTCACAAAAATTTCACCATTTTCCAAATTACACAGTAGATACAAATTTCCCAGGACACAAACTCGGCTATCTAGAAATGTAGATTTCTTTTTTTTTTTTTTTTTTGGAATTAAAAGTGATTTCTAGCTCAAGCTCCCATTTCAACTAGAGATAGCAATTTAATCTTAGTCACATTAGATTTTTCTTGTTCAGATCAAAGTTTTCTCTGTCAGTTCTGGATTTTTAGTTTCCTCTTCTTCCAGTGATTTCATCTAAATCCCAGGGAAACTTAGAGAATATTTAGGTTTGGGTATGACTTTGGCACTGTCCACTCTCCCTGCTGACACCTACTGAGATGGGCATCCTCCTGATATGCTTTGGATATTTGTCCCCTCTAAACGTCATGTTGAAACGTAATTCCCAGTGTTGGAGTGGGACCTGGTAGGAGGTGATTGGATTATGGGGACAGATCCCTCATGAATGGCCTAGCACCATCCCTTGGGTGATAAGTGAGTTCTTGTTCAGTTAGTTTGCATGAGATTGGGTTGTTTAAAAGAGTCTGGGACCTCCCCCCTCCGCTCTCTCTTGCTCCCACTCTCGCCATGTGACGTGCCTGCTCCTGCTTCACCTTCTGTCATGAGCAAAAGCTCCCTGAGGCCCTCACCAGAAGCTGAGCAGATGTAAGCATCATACATCCTGTACAGCCTACAGAACAGTGAGCCAACTAAACATCTTTTCTTTATAAATGACCCAGTCTCAGGTACTTCTTTATAGCAATGCAAAAATGGACTGCCACACCCCCATTGACCACTCATCAGCAACTTTCCTCACCTACATCTGCCATCTGCTTTCAGGCTTTGGTCCATGTAGTCTCTGGTTCTAAAGACTAACCCAGCATCTTCTTTTGCATCTTGTCTTTAAGCCTGGTCAGGAATGCTGGAAAATACCTCTCTAGAGTGGTAGAAAACTGAATGAGGCTATTTCAGACCTCTTTGTCTAGACACCCCACACAGTTATCTCCACACTAATGTCTTCTAACTCTGCTAAGATTGATGATTTCCTAAGACTCCAAACAGGGAAGGAGGACCCAGCTCCCTTCTGTTCTCAGATTCTTCAATCTATCTGGTGACTCTATTGTCCTCAATCAGGCGGGGCTCTGTTCAGGGTATATGACTCCCTGTCAGATACCCACACCAGTTTCTAACTCTATTGCCTTCTCATCAATTCTCTTGTCTTCTCTCCGGAAGAATGCATATCTTCTCATTTGGAAAAACTGGCTCTGACAGATTCTTAGTCTTCCAATTCCAATTTCTAAGTCTGAGTCCTTCAGGATTTTGATTTTTGAGATTGAAAAAAATTTTTGCTTTTATCTACTGACTCTACCACAAGTTTAAAAATTCTGCTATGGACACAAAAGCTGAATATTGCCATATCTCTTCCCTAAAGCACTAAGCCCAGGCTGCCTGCCCTAGCTTCCACCTAAAACAAATGGACAGGTTACAGTACAGAGAAAAATATCAGAAACAAAAACTCATGCACACAAAATAAACGAAAGACTTAAGTGAGGAAAAAAGAAGGATCAGGAACAAAAAAGAACATTGGTTTGTATCAAGTATCACCCCTCCCACATTTGGAGCCCTCTCCTCCCCATTTCACTTATTTCCTTCTTTACCTGGCTAATGTCTTTTTTTAGTATTTATTGATCATTCTTGGGTGTTTCTCGGAGAGGGGGATTTGGCAGGGTCATAGGAAAATAGTGGAGGGAAAGTCAGCAGATAAACATGTGAACAAATGTCTCTGGTTTTCCTAGGCAGAGGGCCCTGCCGCCTTCCGCAGTGTTTGTGTCCCTGGGTACTTCAGATTAGGGAGTGGTGATGACTCTTAACGAGTATGCTGCCTTCAAGCATCTGTTTAACAAAGCACATCTTGCACCGCCCTTAATCCATTTAACCCTTAGTGGACACAGCACATGTTTCAGAGAGCACGGGGTTGGGGGTAAGGTTATAGATTAACAGCATCCCAAGGCAGAAGAATTTTTCTTAGTACAGAACAAAATGGAGTCTCCTATGTCTACTTCTTTCTACACAGACACAGTAACAATCTGATCTCTCTTTCTTTTCCCCACATTTCCCCCTTTCCTATTCGACAAAACCGCCATCGTCATCATGGCCTATTCTCAATGAGCTATTGGGTACACCTCCCAGACGGGCTGGCAGCCGGGCAGAGGGGATCCTCACTTCCCAGACGGGGCGGCCGGGCAGAGGCGCCCCCCCATCTCCCAGAGACAGGGCGGCGGCCGGGCGGGGACCTGGCTAATTTCTATAAATCACTTAGTTCTCTGTTTGGAGATCACTCTCTTTGAAATGTTTTCCTCCTGCTCTACTCATCTCCATTTCAATCCCAAAATTAGGTAAAGTGCTCATCCTATGTGTTCACTGGCAGAATTTTAAGATGACCCTCAACGACCCTCTTCCATGTATATTTCTCTCCCCTATGAATATGATGAGACACTACTACTGTTATTATGTTATATTACTTGGCAAAAGGGATATTGTCAATGTAATTACAGTTACCAATCAGTTGATTTTGAGTTAACAGAAGAGAAATTATATATGTGGGTCTGGCCTAATCACATGAGCCTTTTAAAAGCAGAGTTTTCTCTACCTGGTTGCAGAAGAGAAAGTAAAAAACTTGAGGCATGAAGGAGGTTTGATGGGCTATTGCTGGATTGAGGATGCATGGAGACACATGGAAAGGACCTGATACAGGCCTCCAGGAGATGAAAGAAAATTACACCCAACACCTAGCAAGAAAATATATACTTCAATTCTACTACAACCTCAAGGAAATAAATTCTGCCAGCAACCAGTGAGCTTTGGAAGAGAACCTCAAGCCCCAGATGAGATGCAGTCTGGGTGACATGTTGATTTCAGCCCTGTGAGACCATGAGCAGAAAATATAGAGATGCCGTGCCCAGACTTCAGACCTATAGAAACTAAGAGATAATAAATTCATGTTGTTTTAAGCCACTAAATTTGTGGTAATTTGTCACACAGTAATAGAAAGTTAATACTGTATGTAATCTCACAGCACCTTTTAACCCTGTTACCAAACTCTACCATGATTGCCTTTCACTTTCTATCTTCCCCAAAAAGACTGAGAGCCTTGAGAGAGTAGTCTGTACCTGGTTCACATTTACATTAAAGTAATATTATTTGAGTTAAATTAATTTGGGTTAAATAAGCAATTATTATAAAAACACTTAGAAGAATACATAGCACACGTTTTTAACTGCAATTATTGTTGTTGCTTAACAGTATCTAAACCATTGGGTAAGACACAGTATAAGCACAACAAATGTTGTTCGAATGACTGGATGACAACATTCACCTCAAGTGAACTCCCACAGCATTTATAGTCAATACAATAGAACTTCATTGGTACAGACTGGATTCAGAAAGCAGAAAATAAGCAGTTGAAAATGGGTTGCTATTCCATGCAAAGGGATAAAAATGAAGTAAAGGTGAGTTAATAGACCTGAACAACAGACAGTCAACAGATCAATTTGGCTAGAAAAGTAGGCTCCTACAAAGGATAAACCTAAGTTTGAGTTGGGAAGGTGTTTGGTCATATCGTGGAAGACTTTGAAAGCTGTTGAAGTCTAGTTAATTTCACTTAGGAAATGGGGAGCCAATGATAGCTTACAAAGAATATTGACATTTTAAACATAATGTTTTAGGGAAAATATGATATAATAATCTTTAGGATAGATTGGAGAAGGCAGATTTTGGAGGAAGGGAAGCAGTTAAGAAGCCTTCACAGTGGTAAGATATTAGAGCCTGCACTTTTATGAGGATCAGGGACATAAAGAATTCCAAAGAAGGACTAAATGAAAAAAGCATTATTACAGAACAGACTACTGCCCCTCCTACCAAGCAAGTAATGGTCAAAAATATAAATTAAAGTCAACAGAATGTTCTCCTCCAAAGGCCTGGATTCTTAACAGAAAAGCCATTTTCTTCAGCTTTTAGATTTTTGAAGTAAATTGTAATAAAAATGAATCTGCATATAATTGGACTGTCCCAGAAACCACATCCTTTCAATAACAACGCAGGGAGGCGAGCTTGCTAAGTTGATGGTTGATGATGCTTCCTACATGAGGGCAAGATGCTGTGAACTAATTCCATTGTCTGCACACTTGGGATAGTATACCTCTAGAGAAGAATCTACATAGGCCTCAGCTAGCTTATCCCAGAAATATTAGTTCTTCAAATCAAGGTAAGGATTCTGAGAACAGAGCAATCCTTTCTTGCCTGGGTAGACAAGAATGTATATGGACATACATTGGCACTCTGTTCCATATTCCATTTGGAACCTGAAACAAAAACATCCCCTGACATGTGCTTTACATTCCGAATCCATGCATCCCTTGAGCACTGAAGCAACCTCAATGGGTGCTTCATTTGGAAAGCTGAGGCCAGCTCTGGGTCCTTTCCATCCTTGACTACTGCTCCAAATTGCCAACCATCCAATCATTTATGCCTTCTTACTTTAATTCTCATACTGCTCTATGCTATCTTCACTCCAGTTGCAACCATAATATTCCAGTCTTCTTCCAGTCTCCCTCCTCCTAATCCTCTCTCCTGTATTCCACAATATTCTCAGTCTCTTCACAGACTATTCCTCAGCTGAAGCCTGTGTTGTCCACGGAAGCACAGCTGCTTCAACAGCCTACCACACCTCAGCTGTCTACCATGGTGTTCCCTGAATCTTTTCCTCTATTGCACTCCTGAATGCCAACATTTCTCATTTTTCCTGCAGCTGACCTTTGACTTTATTAAGACATCCAGGCCATTTAACCCTCACTTTCTCCCAAACTCTCAGCTTCACATCCTTCCCTAGCCAGCTTAGACATTGTTATCCAACACTTAACCACTCTTTGGCTAACACTTGGTATAATCTGACCTCTTTATTCTGTCACTGCACCCACCCACTAAATCTCTTATCCTGGAAAAATCCAGTGTTAGACTTTTATGTTGGAAAGCAGAAGGATCATTCCAACCATAGGAGGGTGCTTAGGGCTACGAGACAATACTTTTTTCTTCTATAGTTAGCTCTCACTTTCTGTTCCCAAAACTGCTATACTAGAGTATATAGTTACATACTTTTACTGGTCTATTTCTCAATTATCTTTTGAATCTATTATGAGTAGAAACTGATTTTTGGCTCTGTATCCTCAGAGCCTCCCATAGCCTAGTTCATGGTTACCACTTAAAGCATTTTGCCCAAATGAATTAAAAACTTTATAAGGCTTTTTTACTTCTGAGACTTAGTAACTATTAGGCATTGTCTTTAGGCACTTCCTTTGCCCAGACTTGGCATTCTTTCCTCTAATCCTAATTCTACATTCAGAAAGGTTCTGCTTGGCATCAGTAAAGCCACTCCAATGCTCAGAAATTTCAGAGACACTCCTGCTAGTTGGTGTTTCTGTCCACATGATGGTTGAAAGGATCAAATCAGACATGCATGAGAATAGAAGTATACTCGTTATAAAGAGTGTGTTAGTTTTCACCCTCATAAATGCTCCTACAAATTCTGAGAATGTCGGAATCAAACTGTCTGGAGATGATTCTTTTCTTATTTGCTTTTGTCTGATAAAAGCATTCAGTTTTTCACTACTAAAGCTGGGAGTGTATATTAAATTGTCTGTTGATAAATAAGCTATATAAAGCTTAAATTTTTGTTTAAAGAGAAAATGTAAAATCTAAAGACCCACTACGTATAATTCCATTCACTGAAAGATGGGGTAGTATTGTGAAACAAACAAGCAAACAAAACTCAACTTAACAGTCAAAAGATGGGTTTGAGTCCTAACTGTGACTACGGACAATCTACTTAATCTCTCCATATTTGAATTTCCCCTTTTCAGGGGTGATATTCAAATACTGACTAGTATGGCAGACATACTGATCAGTTGGAACCAATACTGGCTATAATGCAGGGTCCTGGCAGCTCCCTGCTATGCCAGGCATTAACTGGTTGGTTGTTAAATTCTGGGGAGATCTCTGGGGGTCAGAAAGAAGGGACCAGAGAAGAGGAATGGGAATGCTTGAGGGGTTCCAGTGGCTATTTACCAAAGGTTCTAAAGTATTTTAATGTTTAAATAAAAAGTATGAGATAGAGCTGGGTTCAGAGCAAAATGGTAGTATAGAAAGCTCCACCAGTCATCCTCCCCACAAGGATATCAATTTAACAACTACCTACACACAAAAAAAAGCACCTCCATAAGAACCAAAAATCAGGTGAGCACTCACAGTACTTGGTTTTAACTTCTTATCACTGAAAGAGGCACTGAAGAGGTAGAAAAAAAAGTCTTGAATCACCAACACCACCCCTCCCCACAGGCCCACAGCAGCAGTGTGGTGCAGAGTATTCCTGTGCCCTGGGGAAAGGAGAGAACAGAAATTGTGAGGCATTGAACTCAGTGCAGCCTTGTTATAGCAGAAAACAAAACCATACCAAACTCAGCTGATGCCCACCCACAGAGGAAGCATTTAAACCAGACCTAGCCGGAGGAGAATTGCCAGTCCCAGCAATTTGAACTTAACTTCCTGCAAGCCTCATAACTTAAGGCTAAAGTGCTCTGGGCCTCTAAATAAACTTGAAAGGTAGTCTAGGCCACAAGGACTGCAAACTCTAAGCAAGTCCTACTGCTAAACTGGGCTCAGAGCCAGTGGACTGTGGGGGCATGCAAGTTAGCCACCAGCCAGCGTGGCTAAACGAATGCTGGCATTACCCCTCCTCTAGCCTCAGGCTACACAGCTTATGGCCCCAAAAGAGGCCTCTTTCCTCTGCTTGAGGAGAGGAGAGGGAAGAATGGGAAGGACTTTGTCTTGCATCTTGGATACCAACTGAGCCATGGCAGGATAGTGCCCCAGTCAGGGTGCTGAGACCCCTGTTCCAAGCCCCTAGCTCCCAGACATTTCTAGATACAAAATGGGCCTGAAGGGAACCCACTACCTTGAAGAAAAGGACCCAGTCCTGGCAAGATTCATTACCTGGTAACAGAAAAATCCTTGAGCCCTTGAATAACCAGCAGTGATACCCAGGTGCTATGTTGAGGGCCTTGCTTGAAACTCTGAGACTTGCTGGTTTCAGGTATCAGCTGGGCCACAGGGAGGTAGAGTCTTTATTAGTTTTGTAGTTTTCTTTTTCTTTTGTGCTTGTTCTTTATTGACAAAAAAGTGTCATTATCAGCTTAAAATAATGGGTTATAAGATACTATTTGCAAGCCTCATGGTACCCTCAAAGCAAAAAGCAGACAATGTATATACAAAAAATAGAAAGCAAGAAACTAAATCACATTATCAGAGAAAGTCACCTAGGAAGGAAGGAAGGAAGGAAGGAAAAAGGGAAAAAAGGGACAAAAGGGAGAGAAGGAAGGAGAGGGAGGAAGGAAGGGAGGAAGGAAGGAAGGGAAGAAGGGAGGGAAGGAAGGGAGGGAGGCGGGCAGAGAGGGAAAAAGAGAAAGAGAAAGAAAGAAAAAGAGAGAGAGAAAGAAAGAAAAGGAAAGAAAGAGAAAGAAAGAAAGAGAAAGAAGGAAAGAAAGAAAGAAGGAAAGAAAGAAAGAAAGAAAGAAAGAAAGAAAGAAAGAAAGAAAGAAAGAAAGAAAGAAAGAAAGAAAAATAAATGACTAACAAAATGGCAGGAGTAAGTCCTTACTTACCAATAACAACATTGAATGTAAGTGAACTAAACTCTCCAGTCAAAAAGCAGAGGGGTTAAATGGATTAAAAACAAACAAGATCCAATGACCTGTTGCCTACAAGAAATACATTTCATCTATAACGACACAAATAAACTGAAAATAAAGGGATAGAAAAAGATATTCCATGCCAATAGAAACCACAAAAGAGAAGCAGTAGCTATACTTTTATCAGACAAAATAGATTTCAAGACAAAAACTATGAGAAGAGACAAAGATGGTCACTATATAACGACAAAGAGGTCAATTTAGCAAAAGTATATAACAATTGTAAATACATATGCACCCAACACTGGAGCACCCAGACATATAAAGCAAACATTATTAGAGCTAAAAAGAGAGATAAACACCAACACAATAATAGCTAGAGACTTCAATACCCCATTTTCAGAACTGGACAGATCTCCTAGACAGGAAATTAACAAAGAAACATCATACTTAATCTGCTCTATTGACCAAATGAATCTCATAAATATTTACAGAACTTTCATCCTCACATTCTTCTCCTCACCACATGGATAATTCTCAAGGATAGACCATATGTTAGGTTACAAAACAAGTCTTAAAACATTCAAAAAATTGAAATAATATCAAGAATTTTCTCTGACCACAATGGGATAAAACTAGAAATCAATAACAAGAGGAATTTTGAAAACTATATGAATACATGGAAATTGAACAATATGCTCTTGAATGACCAGTGGGTCAATGAAAATTGAAAAAATTCTTGAAACAAATGATAATGGAAATTCAACATAGCAAAACCTATGGGATACAGAAAAAGCATCATTAAAGTGGAAGTTTATACCTGTAAATGTCTACATCAAAAAAGAAGAAAAACTTCAAATAAATGACTTCATGATGCATCTGAAAGAACTAGAAAAGAACAAACCAAACTCAAAGTTATTGGAAGAAAGGAAATAATAAAGATCTGAGCAGAAATAAATGAAATTGAAACGATGAAAAAATACAAAAGATCAATGAAACAAAAAGGTTTTTTTTTTTGAAAAATTAAACAAAATTGACCAACCTTTAGTGCGACTAAGAAAAAAGAGAGAAGATCCAAGGAAATAAAACCAGAGATGAAAGAGAACACATTACAAGTGATACCACAGAAATTCAAAGGCTGATTAGTGGTTACTATGAGCAACTATTTGCCAACAAATTGGAAAATCTAGAAGAGATAGACAAATTCCTAGACACATACAACCTACCAAGATTGATCCAGGAAGAAAGCCAAAACCTGAACAGATGAATAACAGGTAATGCGATTAAGGCCATAATAAAAAGTCTCTTAGTGAAGAAAAACCTGGGACCTGATGGCCTCACTAATGAATTCTAGCAAGCCTTTAAGAACAAACACCAATCCTACTCAAACTATTCCAAGAAATAAAAGAGGAGGAAATACTTCCAAACTCATCCTATGAAGTATTACCCTGATACCAAAAACAAAGACATCAAAAAAAAAAAGTACACTAAAGTCCAGTATCTCTGACAAATATTGAGGCAAAAATCCTTAATAAAATATTAGCAAAATGAATTTCACAATACATTAAAAAGATGATTCATCATGGCCAAGCAGGATTTATGCCAGGAATGTAAGAATGGTTCAACATACCTAAAGCAATCAATGTGATACATCATATCAACAGAATGAAGGACAAAAACCATATGATCATTTCAATCCATGCTGAAAAAGCATTTGATAAAATTCAACCTGTCTTCATGATAACAACCTCAAAAACTTGGATATAGGAGAAATATACCTCAACATAATAAAAGGCATATATGACAAATCCACAGCTAGTATCATATTGAATGGGGAAAAACTGAAAGCCTTTCTTCTAAGATCTGGAACATGACAAGGATGCTCACTTTCACCACTGTTATTCAACATAGTGTTGGAAGTCCTAGCTAGAGCAGTCAGACATGAGAAGTAAATAAAGGGCATCAAATTGGAAATGAAGAATTCATATAACCTTGTTTGCAAATGACATGATCTTATACTTTGAAAAATCTCAAGACTCCTCCAAAAACTATTAGAACTGATAAACAAATTCAGTAAAGCTACAGGATAAAAAATCAACATACAAAAATCAGTAGCATTTCTATATGCCAAAATGAATAATGTGAAAAATAAGTTTTGAAAAAGTAATCCCATGTACAAAAGCCACAAAATTAAATAGCTAGGAATTAACAAAGTGGAAGATCTCTATAATGAATACTATACAACACTGAAAAAATAAATTGAAAGGAATACAAAAAATAAAAAGATACTGCATGTTTATGAATAGAATCAATATTGTTAAAATGTCCATACTACCCAAAGCAATCTACAGATTCAATGCAATCCCTATCAGGATACCAATGACATTCATCATATAAATAGAAAAAATAGTCCTAAGATTTATATGGAACCACAAAAGATCCAAAAACTAGAAGAATCACATTACCTAACTTCAAATTATGCTACCGAACTACAGTAACCAAAACAGCATGGTACTGGTGAAAAAAAAAAAAAAAAAAAAAAAACCAGACACACAGACCAATGGAACAGAACACAGAAGCCAGAAACAAACCCACATGCCTGGGAAAATATAGTTTCTTCAATAAATGGTACTGGGAAAACTGGATATCCATATGCAGAAGAATGCAACTAGACCTCTCTCTCTCTCCATATACAAAAATCAAATTAAAATGGATTATAGACTTAAATCTAAGACCTCAAACTATGGAACTACTACAATATTGGGGAAACTCTCTAAGACACTGGTCTGACCAAAAATTTCTTGAGCAATACCCCACAAACACAGGCAACCAAAGTAAAAATGGACAAATGGGATCTAATCAAGTTAAAAAAACTTCTGTACAGCAAAGAAAACTATCAACAAAGTAAAGAGACAATCCACGGAATGGTAGAAAATATTGGCAAACTACCCATCTGACAAGGGATTAATAACCAGACTATATAGGGAGCTCAAACAATTCTGTAGTAAACAATCTAATAATCAGATTTTAAAATGGGCAAAAGATTTGAATAGACATTTCTCAAAAGAAATGGCAAACAGACATATGAAAAGGGGCTCAACAACATTTATCATCAGAGAAATGCAATTCAAAACTACAATGAGATACCGTCTCACCACAGTTAAAATGGCTTATATCCAAAAGACAGGCAGTAACAAATGCTGATGAGAATGTGGAGAAAAGGGAACCCACATACACTGGTGGTAAGAATGTCCATTACTACAGCTACTGTATTAGGATTCTCTAGAGGGACAGAACTAATAGGATACACTGTATATAAAATCTCCTATCATATGTATATATATCCTATTATATATATGTGGGTGTGTGTATAATATGTATAAAGGGGAGTTTATTATATACATATATACACATATACATATATACATATATACACATATATACATATACATATATACATACATATATATACACATATATACACATATACACATACATACATATACACACATATATATACATATATACACAGACATATATATACACAGATGTATATGTAAAGGGGAGTTAATTTTAAGTATTCACTTACACAATCACAAGGTCCCACAATAGGCTATCTGCAAGCTGAGGAGCAGGAAGAGCCAGTCTGAGTCCAAAAACTGAAGAACTTGGAGTTTGATGTTTAAGGGCAGGAAGCATCCAGCACAAGAGAAAGATGTAGGCTGCGAGGCTAGGCCAGTTTCTCCTTTTCAGGTTTTTCTGCCTACTTTGTATTTGCTGGCAGCTGATTAGGTTGTACCCACCCAGATTAAGGGTGGATCTGCCTTTCCCAGCCCACTGACTCAAATGTTAATCTCCTTTGGCAACACCCTCACAGACACACCCAGGATCAGTATTTTTTATCCTTCAATCCAATCAAGTTGACGCTCAGTATTAACCATCACAGCTACTATGGAGAACAGTATGGAAGTTCCTCAAAAAACTAAGAACAGAGTTACCATATGATTCGGCAACCCCACTGCAAGTATATACCCAAAAGAAAGGAAATCAGCATATTGAAAAGATATCTGCACTGCCATGTTTTGTTGCAGCACTATTAACAATAGCCAAGATTTGGAAGCAACCTAAGTGTTCATTGACAGATGAATGGATAAAGAAACTGTGGTACATATACACAATAGAGTACTACTCAGCCATAAAAAAGTGAGATCCTGTCATCTGCAACAACATGGTTGGAACTGGAGGTCGTTATGTTAAGTGAAATAAGCCAGGCACAGAAAGAGAAACATTGCATGATCTCACTTATCTGTGGGATCTAAAAATCAAAATAATTGAATTATGGAAATAGAGTAGAAGGATGGTTACCAGAGGATGGGAAGGGTAGTGTAGGGTGGGGGAAGTGGGGATTGTTAATGGGTATTAAAAAATAGTTAGAAAGAATAAATAAAGCCTAGCATTTGCTACCACAATAGGGTGACTATAGTCAGTAATAATTTAATTGCAAATTTTCAAATAGCTAAAGGAGTATAATTGGATTGTTTGTAAGTAACACAAAGGATAAATCCTTGAGGGGATGAATGCCCCATTTTACCTGATGTGATTATTATGCATTGTATGCCTGTATCAATACTTCTCAGGTACCCCATAAATATATACACCTAATATGTACCCACAAAAATTGAAATTAAAGTATAGCCACATTGGTGTGTACTTGCTGAATATCATCCCTGCTTTGATACTTCCTAATCTGGGGACACTTTAGCTTCCTGAGAGTATCTCAGGCGCGAAATGGAAATCCTGAGAACTCTCTCCAAGGTTGTCTTGAGGATTCAATGAGATCATGTATATGTGAGAAAGAGGCTATTCCTGCTAAGACACAATAGGTGTTTGATAAACGGCAGCTGAATGAAAGAGTGAAAAGAATAATATTTGTTCTCCCTTCCACACAAAATTTTTAGGAAGAATAATTGAAATATTGGATGTGAAAAATTGTTTCATGTTCACCCTACAGAACACCCATGTTCTGTGGGTCATGGTTATTATTTATTTATTATATATTTATTTATTACATCCCCTAGTAACACTTTTCCAGTAACTGTTCATGATTATTGAGACCCTCACCCATAAACCCTGGACCCCATACTTTAGAAAATCTGACAATGCCCTCCACGCCAAGTTTCTAAGTTTCCAAGTGCCTCTGATCCAATCATATCTCTTAGTGGTCAGTGTTTGAGAGCCATTTGTTAGAGTACTTGAACACTGTTTCTTCACCCAACCTCTGTACCCCATAATAGGATTGAGGATCCTCTCAAGAGCCAGCAACTAGTGTTTAACTGCCAACAGGAAAACTGAGTGAACGATCATTAAAATTAGTGTGTGTGCCAACAGAGCAAGATAAGCCAGCTATCTAAAGAGCAAGCTCACCGTGAACTTGAATGTCTCTTACCCTATCTGCCACGTAAATTACTGTAATTTAACACCTAATTGTTACATGTGAAGGATTGTTAAAGATTAAGAGCTATTTAGGATTTGCCACATGGAAGTAAGAAGTATTTACCATCATCAAGAAGGACCTGTAACCATTCACAGATGGATAAGCTGAGACCCAGAGACATCATTTGCCTGAGGCCATATAGCTATTAAGTGGTGGATGACTTTGACCTCAGAGAACCCATACTCTTTCCAGAATGCTGAAACTGTCTCCCACTTGACATCTTAGCAAATAAATTCAGTGAACAGGTAATTAAACACAAAGAGACTGTCTGCTGCTAGGAGCAGTAATCCATAAAAGTAAAGCCCTATATTTTCAAGTAAAAGGTAATTGCTAGAAAGTAAGATTCTAGAGACTCCTAGGACTGAGGCTTCAGTAAAGATGGAAAACTCAGTGGTTTATTTAGAGACAAAAACAGCCCACCATGTTGCAAAAGACTCTCCAGAAGAGAAGTAAGTCCTTCTTGCAATGGTCTAATATGTGTGTGAGCCAAATGATGAAAATGCTTAGGCTCCAGGATGCATTTGTTCATCTCTGCCCCAGGATAGTCAGCCATGTACCTTACTCTAGGAATCCAAAGAGGGCTCAGCTGGCAAATAGCAACAACAATAGAGCAGCTGGACCCAGATTCAATCCTGGGAGCATCTTTCCTCCAAAACATTTAATATAGCAGTTCCCTGCAGAAGGCAAAAATGCATGCAATCCTTTTCAGGTCCTTGTACCTGTTCTCTTTGCCTGGAATTCTATTCCCCTAAGTATTTCATGTTTTCCTATAGTCTGTTTGTGCAGCTATAACAAAATATCTCAGACCTGGCCTTTGTATACAGCATAAATTTATTGCTCACAGTCTGGAGTCTGGGAAGTCCAAGATCAAGGTACTGGGAGGTTTAATGTCTAGTGACTGCCTGGTCTCTGCTTCCAAGATGGCACCTTGAGCACTGCTTCCTCCAGAGGGGACAGACACTGTATCCTCACGTGACAAAAGGAACAGAAGGGCAAAAAGACCTAGCCAGTTCCCTGAGGCTGTTTTTATAAGGTATTAATCCCATCCATTAAGGCAGAACCCTCACGGCCTAATAACTTCCTGAAGGCCCCACGTCTTAATACTGTTGCACTGACGATTAAGTTTTCAACATGAATGTTGAAGGGACACAAACACTCAAACCACAGCACCCTCTCTTACTCAATTCTCTACTCAGATGTCTCCTCTTCAAAAAGGCCATTTGAATCATCCTACCAGAAAAAACCCTCCTGTCACATTCTACATTTTTACTCTAGTTTGTTTTCCTAACTCTCACCAATAAATATTTTTTAAAAAGTAAAAGCAAAGCTGGCCTTGCCTGCATCCATGACTATACATGTGCTAAGGTAAAGATGTCATAAAAACAAATGCCTAAAACAGAAATAAAAAAAAAAATTCTATCTATAAAGGAGATTTTTTTGCTATGTTCAGCATCATTGTATACAAACATTTTGGGAGCCAACCACCACCTCACCCTTGTACCCCAGCCCTCAACGGGCAGTGTCAACAAAATATTATAAGAAGGGCATGCATGATGAGAGATCCTACAGTGACCACTTTGGAAAATACAATCTGCTACCACAGTGTCTTCTAATAGAAGTTCCTAAGCGTTAAAGAGCTGCACAAATACCTGTTTCACAAGTAAGCAGCTGCTGTGAGGTGGTGGAAAGAGCACCACACTGAGATTACAAATTCCTGTGTAATCTGACCTCTGCTGCAAATTCATGTCTCTTCAAGCCTGCCCAGCACTCAGGCTTCATCTCACGCTGTTTCCCTTCTCTGAATGTCTCTGCTTCCTCTTCTCTACCAGATGCGGTTGGAAAAGCTGCCCTGACATTACCATGCCCACATGTAATCACGAAAAGATGCTTTCAAAGGCTTGTTGTGACACTGAGCTCATTGCTTCTTTCTTCCTTCCTTCCTCCTTTCCTCCCTCCTTCCCTCCCTTCTTTCCTTCCTTGTCCAGACTTTTTACAGTCCCAGGCACTACCTTAGGAGCCACATAAAGGGGCGGATTTATCATAAAGCTAATGAAAATGAAGATTGAGAGCCCTTCGCTTGCATGTGTCCCTTCTAAGACCCTGGAAGGGCTCTAACACTGTGTTCAAATGTTGTACTGGTTTGCTAGGACTCCCATAACAAAATACCAGAGACAGGGCGCCCTAAAAACAATAGAAATTTATTTTCTCACAGTTCTAGTGGCTAGAATTTCGAGATTGTGTTGTTGGCAGGTTTGTTGCTCCTGAGGTCTGTCTCCGTGGCTTGAAGGTGGCCACCTTCTCACTATGTTCTCAGGTGGCCTTTTCTCTGTGCATGAATATCCTTGATATCTCTCCCTCTTCAGGGTCCCACCCTACCAGCCTCAGTTTAACTTAATCACACCTTTGAAGGCCGTATCTCCAAAAATAGTTCCCTAATTAGGGATTAGGGCTTCAACACATGAATTTTGGGGTGACATAATTCAGTCCATAACATATGTTTCTACAATATTGCATAATTAAAATGATTTAACATCAATCAGTTAAGATCACTATCTCTTTCCAGTCTAACCTCCACTCAAGTGTTGGAGTCAAAGTAAGTCATTCTGGGGATTTAGCCAAGGCGAAGTTGAGCTGTGATACATTTAGTTCGTGCTTAGTGGGATTTGGTTAACTGGGAAAAGTAATTACAATTCTATTCCCTATAGATAAATTATAAAATTGTTGTTACATCAAAAGACAATTAAAGAGTACATAGCCAAAAATTATATGGAACCTACATGGATGGATGGATGGATGGATGGATGGATGGTTAAGGGCTTGAGTAAGTCAGTTAATCTCTACATACTTCAGTTTCCAAGCCTTTAACCATCCATTCATCCATCTATACATCCATCCCTCCATCTATGCATCATGTGATCATTTTACCAAAGCATCCTATGGAATAATAAATTTTGACACTAGCTGTATAATCTTTCATTGCCTTTCACATTTTGTTTTATGTCATTGTTCAATTTTTAGCTCTATGTTTTATTCGTCCATCAAGACTTCATATTTCTTAGACTAGGACTCTATATTGTACATCTTTTTATCCCTGATATCTAACAGAGCTTTACATACAGTAGATGTATTTTCTGAAAATAGTGATTCTGGAAATGCTGATAAACAGTGCTATAGGTACTCATTGTTCTTCTTCAAATCAAACTAACAATCTAAAAAGAAATAATGAGAGGCAATACCATGTAGACACTAAGATCATGAGCTCTGGAACCACACTGCCTGCATTTGCATCCCTTTTCTGACAACTGTTAGCTTTTGTAAGCTTCTCAAGCTTTTATCCTGTCTACACTTTCATCACCTCATCTGTTATGCAGAGATACATAACAACACCTACCTCAGGGAGTTTTTTCAGGGGCTAATATATGTAAACTACTTATAGAATGCCTGACACGTGGCAATTACTCAAAGTATGCCAGCTGTTATCATTACCATGGGCATTAAGACATATTTGCAAGTGTGCCTTTCCCACTTTGCTGCCAAAGGTCTGCATACTCAAGAGGCTGAAGCAAGAGGATTATTTGAGGCCAGGAGTTCAAGACCAGCCTAAGCAACATAGCAAAACTCTAACAAATATTTTTTTAAAAATTAGCCGTGCATGGTGGTATGCACTGATAGTCCCAGCTACTTGGGAAGCTGGGGCAGAAGGCTCCCTTGAGCCCAGGGATTTGAGGCTGTAGTGATCTGTGATTACATCACTGCACTCAAGCCTGGGTGACAGAGCAAGACACTGTCTCAAAAAAAAATAAAAAATAAAAAAATAATGAAAGTCGTCTGCACATCCCCAGTGGAATAGGGGTTGATGTTGGGAATCACAGAGTCGTTTTCAATTCCCAAATTCTTTACAAAGACTTTGAGTACGCAGTGATGGGGCAGAACTTCCTAGACAACTCCTGGTGTCCGCCTGACTGCCTCTTTCCCGTGGGCAGCTCACTTGACAACTTATTTGCTTTTGCCATGCTGGTTTGTGTGGCCCATTAAAAGTTCAGTTTCTCCTGCCTTCTGCTAATTCTTCTATAATTTGACAAATAGATCACTATGCACCCATCAGGTTCTAGATGCTGAAGACACAAAAGTGAAAAAGACACAGTCCTCAACCTTAAATAGCTCACAGACTAGGTTGGGAGACAGATACATATATAACTCCCTAGAGGAATGTGGTAAGAGATTCTATAAGGGGGTGAAGGAAGCACTTTGGGAACAGAGAAGAGGGAGTCAAAAAGCCACCATCACGATCTGCCTTAATTCCTAAAGATCACAATTTCATGGTCATCTTTAGGGGCCTTAAAAGGACAATGAAATAGTCAAAACCAAAATATACTAAAAATTCTAAATCCTAACTAAAATAAATCGGAAGAATAATTTTGCATGGAGATCATCCACAGATCCTTAGCCAAGGGCTGTGCTGCAAACATGCAGGGCGAAGTTCCACAAAGCCTAGCAGGGTGGTGGTTACAGACTTAAACATGGAGCAAAGGTACTAGAGGTGATATAATTCTGGGGGATACTGGAGTTCTGGCCCAATCAGAACCGAGAGACTTGTCAACACCCCAGACATTCACTATGACTCCAGAAAAGTATAGGAGTAAATACCATGCCTTACAGTAAAGGTTAATCCAGACAATACTGGCCAATAAAGTAGCAGTAAACATATACGGTATTTTCAATTCAAATTTAACTTAAATTTAAAATTCATTTCCTCAGTCTCATTAGCCATGTTTCAAATGTTTAGTATCTAAATGTGACTGATGGTAACCATATTACAAAGCAGAGACAGAGAACACGTTTATCATTTTAAGAAAGGTTTATTGAATGGCCCTACTGTAAGAAAACTGAAAACCAAGCCTTAGAGAAGATCAAGAAGAGCCAGACAAAAATTATCTATCTCAGCACCTTTTAAAGAAAGATAACATAGGTTGTCTTTCTAAGTATCATTGTAAGAGCCTGGATTATGTTGTCTTTAGAATACAATAAAACAATTTTAGACATAGAAAGCAGGAAAATGGACCCTAATCAAGGGGAGAAAACACTACTAATGAATACAGACCCTTAGAAAACCTAAGTGTTGGAATTTTCAGACAATGAATTTAAAACAGCTATTATAAATACGTTCAAGGGCACTAAAAATATAGTCATAATGAGTAAATAGATTGAGAATCTTAAAAAAATGAAAACTATTAAAATGAATAAAACATATTCTAAATTTTAACATCAGAAGTGAAATATTCTGAATTATATTCTAAAATATACATATTCTGAATTATAAATTATATCTGAAATAAAATATTCTAATTATATTCTAAATTATAAATATTCTAAATTATAATATCTAAAATGAAATGTTCACTCGATGAGCTCAACAACAGATTGTAAATGACAGGAGAAAAGATCAGTTGGCCGGGCACAGTGGCCCATGCCCGTAATCCCAGCACTTTGGGAGGCCAAGGCGGGCTGATCACGAGGTCAGGAGTTTGAGACCAGCCTGGCCAACATGGTGAATTCCCTGTCTCTACTAAAAAAAAAATACAAAAAAAAATTAGCTGGGCATGGTGGTGAGCACCTGTAATCCCAGCTACTCGGGAGGCTGAGGCAGGAGAATTGCCTGAACCCAGGAGGCAGAGGTTGCAGTGACCCAAGATCATGCCACTGCACTTCAGCCTGGGCAACAGAGCGAGACTCCAACTCAAAAAAAAGAAAAAAAGAAAAGATCAGTCAACTTGTAGACATAGCCCTAGAAATTAACTTAGTCTGAAGAACAGAATGGGGGAAAAATCCTAATCGTAACAAATGTAAGTATTCATGCTTCTTGTTTCTTTTCCTAAAATTTATATTTAATTATTCTTTATTAAACTTGTCAGATTTTTAACATGTAAACCAGGCAAGATCTGCCACATGTATTTTCATTTATCCAAATGTACCATCACAATATTGTCAACTCTTAATGACTAAAAAGCTGATTTGCTGAACAAAATGAAATCTTTAGCCAATTTAATTACTTTTTGTTTTGCATTATCTGTCTAAACAAAAGCCACACTCAAAAATATGATAGATTTTCATCAAATTTGGAAACCTTCTAAAGAATATCAAAATCCTGTTGATTTGATTCACAGGTCATTTGGCATTTTAAAATAAGATACCTGCTGCTAAGATTTCAATAAACTATATCTTCCAGGCTTCTTAATGTGTTTCAGTGAAGCATGTTAGTGGGTAAAAGTTCCAGAAATGTGTTCCTTAATTCAACAAGTATTGATTGAATATATAGTATGTGCTAGAAATTATGCTGGGGATGCAGAAATGAAATAGGCATGATCCTTTATTATACTGAGTGAAGATCCTAATTGATAAAATCATTAGAAATAAAGTAATAATTTTAGGCCCTTGTGGGTCTCCCAAGATTGAGGAAGGAGGTAAGTTGCACAAAGTACCATCAATGAAAAGAGTAATACAAACTTCATAAGAAAGAAAGATCTAGATTGAGAAGGGGCCTCCTAATTATAGATCAGACAGAGACTTGACCTACAACACCAGCAAACCCAACTTCTAAAGTGCTTTGAGGTTACTTTTTGCACCTGACTAGAGGTGGGCTAAAGAAGCAGCAGTAGATTGCAATATGAAGACTAAGAGATCCTAGGGTGATTAACTCAGTCAGGTCCCAAGTGAGCCAAATAATCCAGTGTTCCTTCACTTAACAATCATCCTTACATATATTAATTTCTGATTTTGTCTGAAGAAATTAGACATAAAAGGGGAACTTTATTGTTATCAATAAGCCAGTTACATATTAATGTAAAATTTCCATAGTAAATTTATAATACAATTGATATAATGATATCAATGGGACATACACATAAATAGTGTTTAATTACTTTATTAAAGCTTTTTAAGTACACTGAACCTCAGTGACGGAAATATTTTACTTTACCTCACTCCTGCACTGGGAATCCTAGATGCATATATATAAATGTATATTAATATATAATCCTAATACATAATATATTATTGCCACTATTTGTGAAGTCAAAAATTGTCACATTTACGTAAATACTCACCCCATGTTTATCTACTTGGTAAGCCCTTGGGATCTTTAGTTAAAATAGACATGCATACAAGCTCTAACCCACCACTTCTGATCCCAGTCACCACCATCAAAACTAGCTACTCTACGGATTAATCAAAGCACCACTAACTTTAAGCCTGGGCTCTCTGACATTTTGGCTAGCACTCTCTCTTCTTGCATCACACTCAGCCCCTGATTAAGGGAGGAGCCAGAATGTAGGTGTCCAGTGTGATCAGTGTGTAAGAGACAGGTCAGGGAATATGTGCAGGAATTGTGGTATCAGTTTCCACACACAACTACATATGGGCAAAATGAATATTGGTTCACCTCACATAGAGGTGAGCAGTACCCTCAAGTGAAAATTTTAAAAGGTATCCCTCGCCGGTGCTGACCTCTCTGTGTTCACCATTTCTATCATTTCTAATAGAAATGAGAAATAGCTTGCCTACACACATAGGCAGGAAAAAAAAAAAAACCACTTTCAAAACTTTCAAAATATTTTGAATAAGACTTAGCAAGTATTTCTATGCAAATTACTTCTATCTTTAGTGAGTCTGAGTGACTAAAGCCATCCAATCATGAGTGATATAAAAACTGAGAAATGAAAGATAAAATAAATAAGTTAAAATGTTAGGTTACATTTGGTGCAATACATATGACAAGCTGTGCATATGCCCCACATTTTAAGCATAAAAAGAGTTAATGGGACACCTATAATTATCACAGCACAAATAATTTTGGACATAAAGGAAGAGGCATAGAAATTTCATTAGCAAAAAATATAAAAATATATATATTTGTTCTATTTCCTTATTTAAATGTTAAACTAGTATTTTTAACATATTGATTTAAAGGATCACTCAATTATAAGCCCACCTGTGGCACCCACATGTATCAGTTCACCCAGGCCCTGGTTTATTCTGTTCTTCTCTTAAGGTTAAAACAAATTGAGAAAAAAAACACAGAAGGCAGGAAAACAAAGGTAAAAAAAAATTCACTTTTTTAAAAATATCGACTTTTTTTTCCCTGTTAACTGATAATGCTGTTTGGACAACATAACTAAATTCTGGGCCAAGTGGCCTTTCTAATATATCAGCCCTGAATTAATCCTATGTACCCAGACACTGGCAGAGCTGGATAGTATAAGCCTCACCCAAAAGCAAAATGCTCTTAATACTAAATTAACCTCATAGCCAGAAAAGAATAAACACTTCTTTCAGAAGAAGGATTCAAAGAGAGAAAGAAGAGGCAAAAATGTATGACTAGTTACTTTTCCCAAGCTCCTCAGTCATAATTTTGTTCTACTACCATTGGAGACATTAAGCAAGATGAGAAAATAGCCAGGATTGTTAATCTACAAAGTCATCCCACCTGGAAACAAGAGGACGGGGGGCGGGCGGGGGGGGGTGGCATATTCCTCCCCTACTCACTGGCACTATTAATAGCAATGTACAATCTGCCTCAATTTCTCCACGTAAGTTGTAAATATCTCTCATTATTATAAAATAATGTAAATTACTTTTATCCAAATTCAAGTACTAAATAGATCCATACAACAAAATATGTCAGTGGAACTTCCTAGGATTATGGTGAAATTATATATGGATACACATATACTCTACAAGTCTATGTACATGCATATATCTGCTTTCTATATCTTAGCAGAGTGCTTGGCATTTAGAAGTGTTCTGCAGTGTGGTAACTTACTACCCCTGTTTTTCCATCTGTAAAATGACAACAATAATATCTTACATTTCTGGCACATATCAGGTATACAGTGAGTGATTATTATTATTGTCTTAATCTTGCTCAGGATAAACGTAGTTTTTTCCATGCTCCCTCTGAGAAGGATTGCCATAATTGGGGCAAAAGAAATGGTTGTCTCACTTGGAAACAGGAAGATGGGGAAATATTCCTTACAATCTAATACTCATTAGTTATTTTTTAATAAGTCTAAATGTGACCTGGGTATGGGCATTTTTAAAAGCTTCCCAGAAGATTCCAAAGAGCTGCCATAGTTGAGAACCACTGCATTCATCCCATGTCCGAACAAATGAGTGGGAGGAGATCAGAAATTGGTCCCATCTTCACAAGTTCAATCTCCCAATGCCACTTCTTGCTTGCTTGTGGATTCTTCTGGGGCCACTCTAGCTTTTTGTCCTCTAAAAGCTCTGCAATGGTTTGATGCAGTTCATCAATTCAATTGCAGCTGAAAAATTCAGTCTGTATTCCATTTCCTATCACAAATTTGCCCAGCCATGAAATTTAATGCAGCTCATCAGAGATTCTGTAATGCTATTAAATAACAACATACAAATACTGTACACCATTAATAGGATACCAACAGTAAGTGCCCCCAAAGTTAAATATAAATTATCTTAAATTATGAATTTTCAGAGAAAAAAATTACTGTTAAAAAAATGAATCTTTTTGCAAGTTTAAATTTGAAATCAGATTATCTTGCCTTTTAAAATCCAAAATCCAAATAATTTAAAATCCATAATTAATCTCCCTAGATTTTAATTCTGCTCAGTCTCAGGTAGGAATGTTATACAATGCCTGGGTAGATTTTGAGTTTTTCAGTAGCTGCTGCCTGGGTTCTTGTCCACTGTGTGAATTTAGTTTTTTCAGACCCTCCCAAGTTAGGTTAAATGACAGGCTTTGCATATGTTCCACTTCAAAGGAATCAAAAGAGTTAACAAGACACGTAAACTATCACAGCACAAGTCTCATACTGTTAAATATAGACCCTACAGCCGCTAATTCCTTCATTCCTACATCCCGAGATCTGAGTAGTCAGTGTTACCTCAGACCACAGCAGACTCAGGGCTATGAAGGGAAGATGAGAAAGAGGCAAAGATCTCTCAATTCAACCTCATCAGGGCACCAGACAGTCTCTGCCAAGGTTAGCAGGACCCCATCTGTGCCTTTCAAGCCCTTCAACTCAACGGAGAGAAAGCTTCCATTGCCAGGTTAATTTTGACATGATTTACTGTACCTAATGGGAAATCTACCCTTGTATACATTCTCTCCAAGAGTGACATTTGAGACATTCACGAGAGGAATAATTCTGTTACCGCGAGGTTTAGAGATCTGCAGTGATGACAGCATCAGCCCACAGATGTTATTTGAGGTGCTTTGCTTCTTTGCTTCTCTGCATATTTAAAAACCTCTCAATCTTGCTTTTTCTTTAGAGTCCTATGCTTGAGGATTTGTAGGCAGGTTAAGGTAACCGGTAAGAGTAGCACCTCGGAAACTATTACTAGCCTTACACTGAAGCTGTAAGAGGAGGGAACTGTAGACATAGAAGAAAAATGCAGTCGCTGCCAAACTGCAGCTTGGCAGGGAGGGAGCCAGGGAATGAATACCTCAGCCTCCCCTCCTCCCACTCTGGGATCCCTGCTGGGCCACACTCAACCAGATCTGGAGAGCAAAGCAGTCTGCATGAGAGAGCAGGCTGCACCTCCAGAGGTACAGGCCGGGGCCTGGAAAGATGGATGGAAGATCTGGAGAAATTTGTGAAGAATACCTAGCACTGCCTTTCTGCTCCATTTCCATCTGTTCTTCCCCTATTCCTTTCAAGAAGCCTCCATTGAGTTTCCAATGGTTAAACCCGCTTCTTAAAGGCATTCCTTTCTAGTCTAACACAGCTAGTGCTAAATTATTCCTAGATTCTTCCTGTCTTCTTTCGTTTTACTTTCCCTTCAATTTCTGGCACAGACAAGATTTCAGAAAATTCTTCAGATTTTCTCTTGCACGTTCTTAATCAAAACACTCTGGGTCTACCATGGTCATCCACTGTACAAACCAACCTTCCCACCTTTAAAATCTCGTGTAGTTGGATAATCCCATTCAGGATAGGGTCTCCATCAGGTCAACACAGGCCTGGATTTTATCTATTATTATCTATTTAATATTCCTACTTTCCCTGTGCCTTCTCTTTATGTATGAATTCCACATGTTTCTTGGGTATGTTCCCTCAACGTGCACATGATGGCTGTGCCACGTTGGAGCTTTCCAAATCATGCCTTTTCCTAATATTCTCTCAAATGTTCCATAATCCCCTGGTATAGCTGACCCAATCTGCAAGCTCTAAGAGACTGTTTTTCAGTCATGCTTGGCTTCCAGCATCTTTTGAGAAGTAATTCCAGGCTTTTTCCTTAAGACTTTGCTTCTCTTACTTTTGTTGGACCCCAGTCACTATTTCTGATTTAGTAACATCTAAAATAGTTTCCTCTTAACTCTCGTACGCTGTTGGTGGGAATGGAAAGTAGTACAGCCACTATGAAAAATAGTATGGAGGTTCCTCAAAAACTAAAACTAGAACTACCGTATGATCCAGCAATCCAATGCTGAGTACATATCCAAAAGAAAGGAAATCAGTATATGTATATCAAAGAGATATCTACACACCCATGTTTATCACAGCACTGCTCACAATAGCCAAGATATTGAATCAACCTAAATGTCCATCAGTGGATGTCTGGATAAAGCAAATGTGGTATATATACACAATGGAATATTACTCAGCTACAAAAAAATGAAATCATATCACTTGCAGCAACATGGACAAACATTATGTAGAACATTATGTTAACTGAAACAAGCCAGGCACATAAAGACAAGTATCACATGTTCTTACTTACATGTGGGAGCTAAAAAAACTGATCTCAGAAAGAGTAGAATGATGTTTACCAGAGGCTGGAAAGGGTAGGAGAGAGAGAGAGAGGTTGGTTAATGGGCACAAAAATACAGTTAGACATAAGCAATAAGCTCTAATGCCCAGTAGCACAAAAGAATGACTATAGTTAACAATAATTTATTGTACATTTCAAAATAGCTAGAAGATTTGGAATGTTCTCAACACAAAGAAATGATAAAGTTTGAGGTGATGGATATATCCCAATTACCCGAATTTGATCATTACACATTACATGCTTATGTCAAAATATTGCATGTACCCCATAAATATGTACATTAGGTATCCATTAAAACCGTAAATAAAAACTGTTTATAAAATAAGTTTTAAAAAACTAAAATAAATAAAACCATTTTCACTTTTATAAAACCCTGTTAAGAATAATTACACCCAGGCATATCTCATTTTCCCTTTCATATCTGCCTATACGAGCTTTAAAACATCAAAAAACAAACAAACAAATTTCTATTTCAGATTTTCTAGTTTAGTTTCTAGATTGCAACACATCTCCTAAAAAAATCTTTTATTACAATTTAATCATATTTTCTTCCATTATTTTATTTTGTTTTCTCCCTTCCTTCTATTCTGTTAGTAGTTTGAAATATATTTCTCAAGCTCCTTTTGCTCCTCTTTGATTTCCTGAGTTAATTTGATTTCTAGAAGCTGAGAATTCCAGGCCAAAGCCTTTATAGTCTTTGGATTTGAAATCATTTCATCAAGATAATTTTCTACTTTATTTCTTTTTGATGGCATATTCTCTGCATAATAAGGACTGATGGCATTTGTTTATTCCTAAAACCTGCTACTATTTTGTGGGCCTCAGAAATCCAAAGTCATGGTCAGAGTTTGTATAACTAACAAATTGTAGCAGAAGCTCTGGGGTCCTCATGCCACATCCCCTCTGCAGCTCATTTGATTTCAACACAACTGAGTGGCACAGTTCTGGCATGTTGCCAGTATCCCCCCTCAAACACTTCCCAAGGCTTGTCTGCTTCAGGCCCCCCTCCAAAGCCTGAGAAGGCCACTCAGTCCTTGTGCCAACAAGCAAGGGGCCTGCTGTCAATCCATGGGGAACAGGGCACAGCAGATAAGTAGCCCAGCTTGCCATGCTCCAGAGATAACCTTAATGCAGTCTACTCAATTCCCAGAGGGTTCTTGTTGTCCATGGTGAAAACCAACTCCATAATACGCCCTTTCTTGCTTTCCCTTTCTCACTTACCCCATCCTCTCACTTAAGCTTCCTGGGGTCATTTCAAAAGCAAAACAAAAAGGAAACAAAAACACCCTATCTACACTCAGTCTCAACTCAGCTCTTGGAGGAAAGCAAACTAAGACACAAAGCAAGCCTAGAGACCTCCCAGTGAGGCAGCATCACAGGGGTCACTTTTTTTTTTTGGAGACGGAGTCTTGCTCTGCCGCCCAGGCTGGAGTGCAGTGGTGCCATCTCGGCTCACTGCAACCTCCACCTCCCTGGTTCAAGCAATTCCCCTGCCTCAGCCTCCCGAGTAGCTGGGATTATAAGCACATGCCACCTCACCTGGCTAATTTTTTTGTATTTTTAGTAGAGACAGGGTTTCACCACGTCGGCCAGACGGGTCTTCAACTCCTGACCTCAGGCAATCTGCCTGCCTTGGCCTCCCAAAGTGCTGGGATTACAGGCATGAGCCACCACACCCGGCCAGGAGACACTCTTAAGACAGAACACTTGTCTAAGGCCATACCACCCTGAACACACCTGATCTCAGAAGTTAAGCAGGGTTGGGCCTGTCTAGTACTTGGATGGGAGACTGCCTGGGAATATCAGGTGCTGTGGCCTTTAAAATAAATTATAAAAGACAAAGAACACTGGAAATTGCTCTGCCCCCATTCCCTTTTGTCCTTGAGTGCAGTTAATGGAATTTGAGGCAGCCAGTTCAATAGCAGATGAGTTAGGCCTGGCATTAACAATTCACAGCTGGAAACCTCATATACACACTAGTAAGGTCCACATGGAATTTAGGTACCTTTGTAGAAGCACAGCAAGAGGAGCAAAAAAAATTGTTCCTGGAACTCTACCTGTTTCAAGGCAAGCCTTCACTGAGATTCAAAGACTCTCTTTTGATGATTAAATCCCTCTCTCAGCCTTCCCTGCAATACTAAGACAAGCCACAGCCTTGTTCAAGGTCAGCTGTTTTTGACCTCTCAGCTGGGCATCTGTTAAGGCCCAAGCAGCAGCCCCGTTATACACAACGCTGTCTGTATGGAAAACCACCCTTTCCTATATAAAAATATCCTTTTGCCTGTAGGCAAAGCCGCCATAATCTGCAGTGAGCCACCAAGATCATTTTCCCATGTGGTTCCCTTAATTAAGCCCAGGGCCTAAGCCACCTACAAGGCCAGGCCTACTAGAAGCCAACTACACAGCAGCAAAAACTAGCCACACAGCCAAATACAGGTCACTGCAGACTGACAGGGTGAAAAGCCACCAGCCTAGGCTACATCCGTTATTTTTAATCCCCAAACTGGACACATTATCTTCTTTCCGAGGTCCCCAGTTCATGTACCATTGTTAAGAGTTTGGGGAATCAATAAATTATCACTTTTTTTTTAAGTCAAGTTCAGAACTGACTAAAGAGATAGATATAGTGATCCGGCAGATGGAGATTAAAATATTATCTTGATTACTGGTGAAGCTGTTTGCAGAATGTAGCTTAGGTTACCACCAAGGGGGTTCTCTAACATGTAACCCCGGAATTAAACTGAAGTAATTGCAGGGGCAGAGGGTTTAAGCTTACCTGTCACTGCATGGCAGAGGGAAGATTAAATTCCAGCCAAAATGCCACTTCTCCTTCTCTCAAAAGGAGTGGATGAGGGGCAGAAAGAGGCCGGGAATGCTACTCTAGGTAATCTGTCCACAAGGAAATAGGAGGAATGTTCCTTCCTAGCAGCTTCCTCTGCCTACGCTTCTTATGTTTGGCCAAATGCGGCTATCAGTCTCAGCTCCACATCACTGCCTTATACCTGCACCCATCAGACAGAGAATGCCCCTAACCGAGTTCATCTCATTCACCTCTGTTTGGACAGAGCCTCACTGCAGAACATGTCACAAGCCACTTGTCAGACTTTGGATTCTCACCCTGGGCTCAGGTGTCCACCCCAAACCAATGAACTATGGCAAACAAGGAAGCGCAGCAAAGGGCTGAAGTCTGTGGCATCTAGGACCACTTCTGTGGTCAGGGACTGTGGGAGAGGCACCAGTCAGAGCTGTCCAGAGCAGATTTCAGGGTGGACTTACTTCTGCAGGGTGCATGATGCTGCACCCCCTTGCTTCTGACTCTGCTCTTGGACTGACTAAATAGTGTCCCTGTGCCATATCAAGTTAGCCTTCTCCCTGGTGCCTCCTCTCAGGGCCTATGGTCAGTGGAGCAGTCCTAGGTAAGGCCTTCTCCTGTTATTCCTAGTATTTCAGGATTCACTTCTCCCACCACCTCTCAATTGCTATCACAGAATTAGGTCAGGTCCTTTCACCAAAGACGATGACAACCAACACAATCATCTTACCTCTGCTCCCAAAAACTCCTACCATACATAGACCACATTCTATGCCTTCCTATTGAGAATTTGTTGTAGAACTCAAGAATCTTTCAGATTTCCAGCACAGAATCAGTATCCACTTAAATTTACAGAAAAATAATTGGTTGGAAATTATTTTGACTCCCAACTACACGGCAGCAACATTTTTCAAGGGCAATTAAATTTTAAGGACTGGGCCGGGCGCGGTGGCTCACGTCTGTAATCCCAGCACTTTGGGAGGCCGAGGCGGGCGGATCACGAGGTCAGGAGATCGAGACCATCCCGGCTAAAACGGTGAAACCCCGTCTCTACTAAAAATACAAAAAATTAGCCGGGCGTAGTGGCGGGCGCCTGTAGTCCCAGCTACTTGGGAGGCTGAGGCAGGAGAATGGCGTGAACCCGGGAGGCGGAGCTTTCAGTGAGCCGAGATCCCGCCACTGCACTCCAGCCTGGGCGACAGAGCGAGACTCCGTCTCAAAAAAAAAAAAAAAAAAAAAAATTTTAAGGACTGACTCTTCTAAACTGGAAAACCGATGTCCTGGCTCCTAGGAGGCCATGCAAAACAGGAAACTCAGAGCAACCTGGTCGCATAAGGATAATATGGTTAAAACTACCTTTACACAGCAATTAACCGCATCACAGAGGGCTGCGCTACCATAAGGTTATACCAGTCAAACTCTTCCAGTTAATCAGGTAAGAAACCAAGAAGAATGAATTACAAGGGAAAAAAACTAATCAAAACGATTCAACTCTGTTGAAAAACAGTCAAGTCAGTCAACACTGAACTTGATTACCAAGAGTCACCTAGTGGTCACAACACCACGGATTCCAACTTTTCTCCACTCCTGGCATGTTCTGGAAGTATCATGTAGACATTGCCCTCATGTCCCTAGATGGAGAGGAGAACCTCTCTCACTACAGAAAACCAAGCCAGGGAGCAGGAAAAGAGGGGAAGTAAAGGATTTCTAATATCAGCCCTCCCTTAGGCCATGGGAATGCCCGGCAAGCTAAGACCTCAGGAGCAATAATGGTAACATTGTTGGCACAGTGAGCCTCATGAGGGACAGGGAACATCTGGGCCTGTGTTGAGTCACATGAGAGCTCTATAGGGACATAAAGTGGGGCAAAGAGTTGTTTTGTTCCTCATTGTTGACAACTTTGGGTCACCCTGAGACCACAGCAACATCACAGCAGGTCCCCTAAACCACAAAGCATATACGTGGATCAGTCTGCAGCCAAGCTTGCAGCCCCCACAGCACTCTCATGACTCTACAGAGGTGACCACCACGTGGAGTTCTCGGACCCCACCCCAGGCTCTTTGAATCAGAATCCACATTTTAACAAGATCCCTGGGTGAGGAGCTTTCCCAGTAAAGTTTGAGAAGCATGGCTCTGCTTCTCAGACTGAGATTGAGAAATGTGGGTGAATAGGGGAGGAGGACAAAGAAAAGAACAGAAAGAAAAGCAGAGATAGAAGTATCTGTAAGAGAGAATCACTCTGCTTTTCAGTGAGTTGAAACCAAGCCTGCAGGAGGGACTAGGGAGAACATAAAACTTGCTTTTGATCAAATCCTGGATCTGAGAAATCTCCACCTTTGATTCAAAGGGTTCCTCAGTCCTTGTGTGAATTTGATAAGCTAGGATTTCTAGGCAGGGATCAAAACATTTCACTGCATTCTAGGAAGCCAAATAAAAGCAAGTAAAGAAATGGTAGCTCTGAGAAAATCAAACAGAACAAACTAGAAATCCTATTTCCATCCTTAGGCACTTGCTCAGGCCACCCTCATTTTGCCACTGCAGGATGCTCTCCCACCTCCTCCACTAGCCCTGTGACTCTGAGTGGGTCCCAGTCCTGACTCCTTCATGTACGAGCTGAAGACACACAGAGCACTACTCCCAGTAGAAGGATCAATAATTGTAAGCAAGAATTTAACACTCTAATTGGTTCCTCAAAATCTCACTTAATGATAAAGATGTCTCTTGCCTTAGGGAGAAAATCTAGTGAAGAAGTTCATGATCATTAACTTTTTTAAGTTTTAAGGGAAGTAAACAATTTTAAGGAAGCTGACCCAGTGTATTTCTTTGATCTCTTCTATCCGAGGCAACTTCTGATATACTTGTATGAATATAAACCAAAGAAGTCTTTGTTAACTACCAACCTGAGTAAGGATCAAAGCCACCAATCCTGGACAGTCCTGAGTGGAACCCAGGTCTCCAGAGACAAGCAAGAAGATTGCTGAAGTCAGGACGCAGACTCAAATCTGTAAGAGTCACAGAGAGCAAAACTTGTCCAATTCGCGACCCATGGACCGCATGTGGCCCAGGATGGCTCTGAATGCAGCCCAACACAAATTCATAAACTTTCTTAAAACATTATGAGATTTTTGTATGGATCTTTGTTTCTCTTTTTAGCTCGTCAGCTATGGTTAGTGTTAGCATATTTTATGTGTGGCCCAAGACAGTTATTCTTCCAATGTGGCCCAGGGAAGCCAAAAGATTGGACACCCCTGATGTAGAGGAAAAGGTAGATGATTCATATTTCCCCGACCTGGTGCTTTGCCCAACCCCATTGTCTCATAGATGGGCATAATCATGTCTCAGAGTGGAGAGGGGTTCCTGCAAGCATGGGAACGATAGAAAAGTCTATTCTGCCTACAAAGAGGCAGCTAGGAAAACACAGGTTCCTTGAAAGTCAGAATTATACGATTTTTATTTTATTCTCTGTAGGGTTTTGGGGTTTTTTGTATTTTCCATAAAATATATTTTATTTTTTCAATCAGACTTAGAGTGAGGTTACATTAAAATGTAAGGACATTGAAAACAGAAAACGTAGAAATGAGCCTGTTCTCCATCAACTCTTAGCTTTGTAATTTTGGGGAAATCATTTAACCTTGCTAAGCTCCAGTTTCCTCAATCCACAAATAACTATTTTAATAATTGCTGCCTTCTCAACTTCATAGAGGTTTTGTGAGGCTTAAATAAGATAATAAATATTTAGTCCTAAAACTCAAAATCACTAAGGACTTTTTCAAAGATGGGATGGCTTTAGATAACCTGCTTATGTTCTGGGCACCTCCTCTAAGACCTAGCATGAGTCAACTGCAGAAAGTAAGGCAGGAGGCAGCAACGTGGAGTGGAAAGAGCATGGGGCTTTGAGGCCAGACAGATCTGAGTATAAAAGCCAGTTCTGGCCCTTACCATTGGTATGACATTGGGCAAATTACTTCACCTCTCTGAGCCTCAGTTTTTTTAATCTATTATATGGGGACGATATCCATGCAGGATGGTTATGAGAATCAGAATAAATGCATATTATTTGCCTGGCCCTTTGGAGGCAGTGATTATTATTCCTTCCTGCTGGTAGGATCAGGAATTGGAAGTATAGCCAAACATTCTTATATTGAAAGAGTATATAATTAAAATTTGCCCTGTGGGTTCAGCTGTTTTCTCCACCAAGCATGCATTGGTTGATGAAGAGGTAAAGTGTTGCTTGCCACTTCTGCCAGGATGCTTATCTACAAAAGCAAGAGCCAAACCTGGTATCAAGTGGGATAGCTATGTCATGAAATCCTGTCTTCTTGGTCCTAAGAATGTAAGAAGCCAAAGGACCCCACAGAATGCAAGTTGTATACAGGACTCAGTTGCTGTTTAGTTGCCTACATATCGCAGGTGGTAAAAGAGGTATAAAATGGTAGCCATGGTGGTTGTAGTTTGCAGTAGGTACAACAGAGAGACTAAGGTAGAATTACAGGCATCAAAATTAGTGATGACTACCATGACAAGGGCAACAAAAAGAGGCAGAACACAGCCCTGTGTTGGGACCGTGATAAAGATCAGTTTTAGTGACAGAGTCATCTCAACTGTGGTCCAAGGGGCAAGTACAAGTCACCCACCCAACCAGACTTCTTAGGAAGCTCTGCTCTTCAGCCTACAGTCTCTAGAAACTAAGCAACCAGGAGCAGAAGCCAAGACTGCAGGAGTGATATCCATTCTGAGTGCAGTTGACTGAAGAAGAGTTGAGGGCTTTTCCAGGGACAATGTGGGGTTTAGGCAACTGGCCATGGGGTGGTCGGGACAGACAAGAAAGCTCACTCTCCTAATCATGAAGCCCTACTGTGTAAACTGTAGTTTCTGAGCCTGAATCAGACTCCATAAGCAAAGACTTGATTGTTAAATTTCCTACAAGACAGGAACAATCATTCTTTGAAAACATCCTCCTCCCATCCTGCCCCAACAAGTCTCTTCTATAATTTGAATTACATTCATAAAAGCATGTTTCAACTGCAAAGTACCATGCAAATGTAAGATGGTTTTATTGCTGTTATTATGGCTAATGGTATTGCAGAAGCCCCACCCCAATGTACAAAGGACAAAACATTCTTAGAGGCAAAAAATACTTGAGTATCCATCCTAATGAATAAAATGTCATTTACCACCCTGGCTTTCTTCTTATCTTTAGAGACTTCATAATCTTTTCTGGCATTTCAGTAAAGCCAAGGAACCTCACTCTTTTTTAAGCTAATTGCCTGGAAAAAGCATTCCCGCCTCTCTCATATGCAGAATAAAAGTGTCTGCCTGTCTAGCCAAGGCAGAGTCCTAAATATGAGACTGCAGACAAAATAGACTAATCTGACTCCATCATCATTTCCACTCGAGTTTCCAGGCTGCAGCCCCTATGCTCAAGGTGCCTGCATTTATTGGGCACTCTCCTTTCTGTATGGTTTCCATGTCATGCGTATCATGGGTCATCCAACTTCAGGCTCCTTCAAATCCTACATGTTCCTCCTTCTAACTGTGCAGAGAAGCTGAATTTTTATAACAATGGCATGGCTATCCTTGTTCTCTGCTCTTGGAATAATTACAGACAGTGAAGAAGAGAGATGCCTGTTATTTGGGCCACCCATTCGTTCATTCTCTTACCAAGTATATACTGAGCCCCTCCTATGTGTAAGGTGGTTGGAAATAAAAATATAGAGAAACATAAATCCAGCCTTGAATTTCCTGTCAACCTGGACAGAGGTTGCTGTCATCCTGTTTCCAAGGAAATGTGTTTTATTTTTCAATTGGTTGCATAGTCAGTAAAAACAACCATAAGCTGGCAATGTCAAGAGGACAGCAGTAAACCCCAAATCAAGGAAAAACCTGAAGATGGCCAAGATTATTTAAGCAGGATGCTAAAATATGGTCCATGCAATGAAATCCACACTGAGTCAGGGCAAGCTACGGTCAGACAGTCACTTAACACACAACTGGGGACGAACCACACAAAAGGAGCTAATGTGAGAATCACAACCCATGAGCAAGTTGAGATTGAAGGCAATAGAGATTAATAAGAAAGTCTTTACTCATGGCTTCCCTCCCTGTCTAAGACATCCCACTTCCAGCACCCCAAATCCCCAGATGAATACTCCCATTCATCCTTTAAAATTAGTCTAGGCATCACTTCCACCAGGAAGCTCTTCTTCCTCATCACCACCCCTTCCAGACACAATTTGATGCCCCTTCTTGTTGTACTATTTGGTGCTTTTTTATACCACTGCACTCTACATACTGGTGTTTAATCGTCTATTTGTATGTCTATTTATCCCTACACTGTGAGTTCCTGGAGAGCATGAATTGGTGTCTTATTTATCATTTACCATAGTGCCTGTTATATTTATTGTGCACATGTTTGTAGCATGAATGAATGGATTAATGAATGAATGAATAAATGAATGAATGAAGAGGGCTAATACATTCTTTAGAAGCCTGGGTACTCAGCTCTTACAAGAATGCCTTCACTGAACACAGGGACTTTGCAAATGAAAATGTGCAGCAAATATTCTTCCCTCCTTTAGGTCAAGGGCAGAAAGGCAGCAGAGTGTCAGTTAAGTCTCTCCCTCAGCTGGAGAGACAAGCCATCCACAATTTGCAAGCTTTCCTCGCCTGCTGTGCTTTGGAGGATTTGGCTATAGGGCTCTTAACGAGATCAAGCTGAATCACACAGTCTCATCCTGTCAAAACGCATTGGAAATCTTTCTTGGGTGATTTATCATGGAAATTCACATGGCAGGGAAGGGGAAGGGGGATTAGAGGAAGCAGAGAAAGCCACTCTCTGCTGGCAGTGCTGGGCTGGCAAGATGCCCACAGCAGCCACAGCAGCTGGTGGACAAGGTGTGCTGACATGGGATGGATGGGCTCCTGTGAGAAGGCCACCTCCTGAAAATAAATAATCATCTCCAGGACAGGCCCACTCCAAGAGCTGCGTTAACACAGAACAGCCGCAGCCAGTAAATCCTGGCCAACGAGTATGGTAGGGTGAGGGGGATCGTATTGATTTGCAGCTGCTGGCAATGCCTGACAGATCAGCTAAAATACGGAGTAGCTTAGATTTGCTCCCAAAAGTCAATAACAACACCATGACTAATTTAAAGCCAGGGCATCCACAGCTAACTGAAGTCACTGCTAGAGAGAGATTTCGGTAGAACAATGTAAATAACCAGAAATGTGAGAATATCTTCTGGATCTAAAACGTATCTGTAAATATTTTGACTCCCCTCTCTTGCACTTCCCTCCCCGGCTGTAGGGGCTTATCTTAGGATAATCTTAGTTTTGTGCAGATGACTTTATTTTGTTGTTATGGTGCTGTGTGTGCCAGTATAGCATGCTGGCACTTCTTGTTAAAAGCAGCATTAACAAATGTGGGCTCAAATAGAAAGCCATTGCCATTTGTCAATGTTGCTTTGAGAAGAGGTGCCAGCTTGTACTGTGGGGCCCTGGAGGGCAGAGACTCTGTCATTCCAAGGCTGAGAAACTGCTCTTTGCCAGGCAGGATGCTGAAAACAAAGATACAAAGATGGAATGAAAATGGGACCCTGCTCTAGGACCCCTTGAATCTAACAAAGGAGATAGACCAGAGATAGAGAAAGAGTGTCAGCTAAGAGAAAACACTACGGCACCAGAGTGTGATGCTTTGAATAGGGCAATCTCTGACTGTTCTGGATCAGAAAGTGCCTGCCCTGGGAGAAGCTTCTAGGAAGAAATCATGCCTTAGCCCACAGGCCAACACATGGATCATTCAAAAGACCTCTTCTCAGAAATTCACAGTGTGTATCCATTGTTATTTAACATTTGAGACCCTGCAAGCTTTTCTTTTTCTATTTCTTGTTTGTTCATACATTATCCTTAACAATATGTGTATGCCAGATGTGTGGGGAGTTTAAAAATTCACTGACAATGAAGAGGGTGGGGGCAGGGGCCAGAAGATTTTGATCAATCAAGATGAGAATGGCCCCTGTTTTTTAAAGTTTATTTTTAATAATAATATTTTTTTGGAAAAAACAACACAAAGAAAGCGAATGTAGATACAACCCAAAAAGCCCCATGGACTTTGAGGCATAGTTGCTGGCATTCTTGGTTTTAGACCAAACAAAGTAAATAACACAAAGAATTATCAAAAATCATTGAAGCCAGAAAACACTTTATTGATGACTAATACTGTGTTAGTTTCTTAGGGCTGCTGTAAAAAAAGTCCCACAAACTGGTTGACTTAAAACAGACATTTCAAGAAACAACAGAGGCTGGCGAGGCTGCAGAGAAATAGAAATGTTTTTACACTGTTGGTGGGAATGTAAATTAGTTCAACCATTGTGAAAGACAGTGTGGCAATTCCTCAATGATTTAGAATTGGAAATACCATTTGACCCAGCAATCCCATGACTGGATATATACCTAAAGGAATACAAATTATTCTGTTACAAAGATGCATGCACACACAGGCTCAATGCAGCACTATTCACAATAGCAAAGACATGGAATCAACCCAAATCCCCATCAATAATAGGCTGGATTTAAAAAATGTGGTACATATACACCGTGGAATACTATGTAGCCATAAAAAGGAATAAGATCATGTCCTTTGCAAGGACATGGATGAAGCTGGAAGGCATCATCCTCAGTAAACTAACGCAGGAACAGAAAACAAAACACCGCAAAACAAAACAAAAAACACTTATATGTTCTTACTTATAAGTGAGAACTGAAGAATGAGAACACATGGACACAGAGAGGGGAATGACACACACTGGGGCCTGTGGGGGGGTGGGGTGGGATGAGGGGGGAGAGCATCAGGAAAAAGAGCTAATGCATGTTGGGCTTAATACCCAGGTGATGGGTTGATAGGTGCAGCAAATCACCGTGGCACATGTTTACCTATATAACAAACCTGCACATCCTGCACGTGTACCCTGGAACTTAAAATTTAAAAAAACAGGCAAACATTGATTCTCTCACAGTTCTGGAGATGAAAAGTCTGAAACCAGGGTGTCTGCAGATGTGGTTGCTATTTTTGGGGTACTGAGGGAGAATCCATCTCCCAGCTTCTGCTGGTTGCCGGTAGTCCTTGGAGTTCCTAGGCTTGTAGCTGCATCGCTTCCACTTCCACCTCCGTCTTCACATGGCCTTCTCCCCTGTGTGTCTCTGTGTCCAGAGTTTCATCATCATAAAAGGTCACCAATCAATGGATTAAGGTCCACCCTAATCCAGAATGACCTCATACTAACTGATTACATCTCCAAATTAGGTCACATTGACAGGTCCTGGGGGCTAGGACTTTAACATATCTTTTGGGGGGACACATTCAACCCACAGCAAATACCCACTAGCCCTGCTCACTTTTCATCTCAGCCACTGATGATTTACCAAAGATTAGTCACTCATTGACCAACACTCAATCCAGGGAAATGTGGCAAAGGCAAAAGATTAAAAAGCCAGGAAATATCCTTGCCATCTCTCTCCTCTTTTTTTTTTTTTTTTTATCCTGAAGATTGCCTGGGAACTCTCACAACAGTAAGGTACCTATATATTTGGCAGTAAACGAAGAGGAAAAGGTTCTTTTCTGATCTTTTAGCTGGACAGGTGTGTGAGCTATCCACCATTCTCCTCTCTAAAATGGATGTGTATGTGCGTAGTGCATTACATTTGAGCATGATAAATCTGAAATGGTTCTGTTGTGGTTTCTCTCTTTGTGCTCACATTTGTCTTCTTTCTACAGACTTGGCATTCTAGTGTATCAGACATCCTGAACAAAATGTCCAGTTCTTACTCAGCACCACGTTTTGGTAGATAAGAGGTGAATGAAATGCTAAAAGTAATATATAATTTGCTCTCAACAAACGGCAGAAGGAATAATACAGCAGTGATATTTTATAAAGGAAAGACTAATTACACTGGGAACCAAACATAGCAAGGATCCCATTTTAATCTTTCATAACGAAAAATGTCACTAACACATCTGGGTGCTTTTTCTTGTTCTTAATAGTAGCTTGAAATAGTGACAGTTGGGGAAGCTGTACTATAGTTGTCCCAAAGTTTGATTTATAATCAGTCACCTTCCATTTGGCAGCAGCTTATGAGGAAGCAGCATTAGTGAGAAGTCTGGCAGATTTTGCCCTTGAGGTTAAGATATTAAACAAAAATGAAAACTAATCTATCTTCAGATGGAAGTATGGTACTTAAAGTGGAGTGTTTAGGAGACAGTCTTGTAAAATGTTTCTCTTTCAAAATGATTTTATTAGAGTAATTAAAAATGCAGGAAATGATACCATCTTTCAAAAGTTGCATAAAAGCTCTGTTTTAATCTCCCTTGCTCTCTGGAGCTAGATAAATCTATATATAGCCATTCCTGGTATACGCTTCACTCATTAGCTCCATATATAGATCCAGATAGAATATTCACTGTGAACATAGGTCACGCTGTGTTCACAGGAGGATTGCTTTTTAAAACCTTGAAACTATATGCTTCTTTTGATAGTTCACATAGATGGCCTTGGGAAGTGAGAAGTCAGAGGTCACCTTTGGGTCCCACAGCCATGTCTTTATTTACTTATCCATTCAACAAATATTTGCTGAATATCTATGACACGTAGAACCCATTTTTGTGGGTTTAACAACAACAAAAAGAAAAGGTCTCTGTCCTCCAAGATCTTATAATAAGGGAAGAAATATACAATTCTACTTTTGGCAGTGTGGCAGCCTATACCACGCCTATATAATAAAAAGAGCCTTCTTATTACAATATAAGAAGCTACAGTATAAGCAACGAAAGCAAACTTTGAAATATAGTGTTGATCTCTAAGAAAGTAACAGAATTCGGCCAGGCGCAGTGGCTGTCGCCTGTAATCCCAGCACTTTGGGAGGCCGAGGTGGGCGGATCACGAGGTCAGGAGATGGAGACCATCCTGGCTAACACGGTGAAACCCCGCCGGTACTAAAAATACAAAAAAAATTAGCCGGGCGTCGTGGTGGACGCCTGTAGTCCCAGCTTCTTGGGAGGCTGAGGTGGGAGAATGGCATGAACCCGGGAGGCGGAGCTTGCAGTGCGCCGAGATCGCGCCACTGCACTCCAGCCTGGGCGACAGAGTGAGACTCCGTCTCAAAAAAAAATAAAATAAATAAAAAATAAAAAATAAAGAAAGTAACAGAATCCTCATAGAGAGAACTGTAAGGTCAGGGTAACCAGGAGCTTTGAGTTTTCAGATTATGAAAAAGGCAACAAGAAATTAGTCCTTTCCGGAAATTTTGACCTGGAGTCTGTGGACTCCCAAAATATTAATATTTGTGCAAGAATTCAAGGAATCTGTGAACTTATATGGGGAAAAAAATTACATCTGTATTTTCATATGCCTCTAATTAAAATAGGCTTCAATTACAAAAGGTAAGCAACAGAGCATAGTAATTTCACCAGTAACTACCTTTGCCTCCAAAAGAAATCAGATATTTCATATCACATCACAGTGTTGTAAACTACCTTGAAATGATGACTACACTCATTACTCTTTTGTAATAGTTTTAGGCAAGTAACTAGATCTTATTATTTAATGCATGAATAAGAAGCATATATACTAATATATCACTGTTTTTAGTATTTGATGACTGTACTTCAATGTAATTGTAATAATTTATAATCCTATGTGTTTTATGTACACAAAAACATTTTAAGAAAAGTGCATAGGATTCACTGGATTTCCAAAAGAATCCAGACTTCAGCATTAATGAAAGAATGAGCTGGCTGGGCGCGGTGGCTCACGCCTGTAATCCCAGCACTTTAGGAGGCCGAGGCGGGCGGATCACAAGGTCAGGAGATCGAGACCATTCTGGCTAACACGGTGAAACCCCATCTCTACTTAAAAAAAAAAACAAAAAATTAGCCAGGCGTGGTGGCGGGCACCTGTAGTCCCAGCTACTCAGGAGGCTGAGGCAGGAGAATGGTGTGAACCCTGGAGGCAGAGCTTGCAGTGAGCAGAGATTGTGCCACTGCACTCCAGCCTGGGCCACAGAGTGAGACTTCGTCTCAAAAAAAAAAAAAAAAAAAAAAAAAAAGAATGAGCCAAAAAAAAAATATATATATATATATATAACTTCCAATAATGTGAGCTTATAAGGAAATCTCTGCTATCAACGTGGTAAGAAAAAATTTTTAAAAAATTACCATTGATGATAGCCACCTTTTAAGAATTTATGATCCACAATCATAGGTCTGTTCACTTATAGGTACAGTCAGAGAAATCCCACATCCAGAAAGTAAATTAAAATGTGTCCCAGTTAGTAATACTCTCAGATGTGTGGCAGAAACAAATGTCATTTCTTTCTGATTAAAAGCATCTAAAACTAGGCCCCTAAGGCTTCTTACATGCTATGTTTAAAAAATAATGAGCTGAGCCGGGCGTGGTGGCTCACACCTGTAATCCCAGCACTTTGGGAGGCCAAGGCAGGCAGATCAGCTGAGGTCGGGAGTTCAAGACCAGCCTGACCAACGTGGAAAAACCCCGTCTCTACTAAAAATACAAACTTAGCCGGGCATGGTGACACACGCCTGTAATCCCAGCTACTCCGGAGGCTGAGGCAAGAGAATCGCTTGAACCTGGGAGGCGGAGGTTGCAGTGAGCTGAGATCGTGCCATTGCGCTCCAGCCTGGGCAACAAGAGTGAAACACCATCTCAAAATAATAATAATAATAATAATAAGCTGGATACAGGGATTAAGATGGCAGATAAGAGGCAGGACTAGCTTGCAGCTCCCACTCAAAGGGACAGAGCAGATGTGGAGACTCACATCCTGAACTTTTGTTCCAAGAACAACCACAGGAATATACCAGGAAAGCCAAGATAATCCACAGACCCTCTAAAGGAACTGGATCACCGCTGCAGACTCCCTGAGATGCTGAAACACTGTGAGTTAGCTTGCTTCCTCAGTGGGGAAGCACATAGTCTGGGGCAAGTTCTCAGCCACAGTCACCAACTGCCTGGGAATAGTCTCGGTGCTGTTGAGGGGGCATGGTGAGAGTGAGATTGGCCTTTAGAACTGCCGGCTAGGTGAGAGCTGGGTGAGGCCTGTGACTGCCGGCTTTCCCCAACTTCCCAGGTGACCTGTATGACTCAGCAGAGGCAGCCATAATCCACCTGGGAATATAACTTCATTGGCCTGGGAACCACACCGCCACCTGCAACAGCAGCCACAGCAAGCCCTGCCCAAGGAGAGGCTGAGCTCAGATATGCCTATTCCTGCCCCCTCCTGTTAGTCTTTTTCTACCAGCCCTGGCTGCTGAAGACAAAGGTCATAATCTCTTGGGAGCGCTATGTAGCTGCCCACCACCTGAGAAACCTGAATACTTAACCAGGTGTCCCTAGGGCAAGTTTGCATCCTACTTATAGGGCCACAGCTGATGCACTCTTAAAAGCGCCACCTCCTGATTGGAAGCCAATCAACACAAAACCAGCACACTAAACACAACAAAAGACCCTCACAGAGTCCACTTCATTCCCCTGCTACTTCAACTGGAGCAGGTGCTGGCATCCACGGCTGCAAGACCTGAAGACAGATCACATCACAAGACTCTTTGCAGACACTCCCCAACACCAACCCAGAGCCCGGTAGCCCACTGGGTAGCTAGACAAAGAAGAGCAAAAACAATCACTACAGCTCATCTCTCAGAAAGCCCCATTCCCAGGGGAAGGGGGAGAACACCACATAAAGGGAGCACTCCATGGGACAAAGGAATCTGAACAGCAGCCCTTGAATCCTAGATCTTTCCTCTGATGTACTCTATCTAAATGAGGAGGAACCAGAAAAACAATTCTGGTAGTATGACAAAACAAGATTCTTTAACACCCCCAAAAGATCATACCAGCTCACCAGCAATAGATCCAAACCAAGACAAAATATCTGAATTACTAGAAAAAGAATTCAGAAGGGAAATTAAGCTAATCAAGGAGGCACCAGAGAAAGGTGAAGTCAACTTAAATAAAAAACATGATACAGGATATGAAAGGAAAATTCTTCAGTGAAATATCATAAATAAAAAACAGTCCACTCCAGCCTGGGTGACAGAGTGAGACTCCATCTCAAAAACAACAACAACAACAACAACAACAACAACAAAACATTTGCAACTTCTGGAAATTAAGGGCACAGTTAGAGAAATGCAAAAGGCACTGGAAAGTCTCAGCAATAGACTCAAACAAGTAGAAGAATGAACTTCAGAGTTAGAAAACAAGGCTTTCCAATTAACCCAATCCATCAAAGACAAAAAAAAAAGAATTTTAAAAAAATGAACAAAGCCTCAAAGAAGCTTGGGACTATGTTAAATGTCCAAACCTAAGAATAATTGGTGTTCCCATAGAAGAAGAGAAATGTAAAAGTTTGGAAAATATATTTGAGGGACAAATCGAGGAATACTTTCCTGGCCTTGCTAGAGAGCCATACATCCAAATACAAGAAGCTCAACAATCACCTGGGAAACTCATCACAAAAAGATCATTGCCTAGGCACATAGTCATTATGTTGTCTAAATTCAAGACAAAGGAAAGAATCTTAAGAGCTGTGAGGCAAAAGCATCAGGTAACCTGTAAAGGAAAATCTATCAGATCAACAGCAGATTTCTCAGTAGAAACCCTACAAGCAAGAAGATACTGGGAACCTATTTTTAGCCTCCTTCAACAAAACAATTATCAGCCAAGAATTTTGTAACCAGAGAAACTAAGCTTCACAAATAAAAAAGATGCAGTGTTTTCCAGACAAATGCTAAAAGAATTCACCACTACCAAGCCAGCACTATGAAAACTGCTAAAAAGAGCTCTAAATCTTGAAACAAATCCTCAAAATACACCAAAATAGAACCTCCTTAAAGCACAGGACCTATATAAATATAACACAGTGAAAAAAAGAATGGTATTCAGGCAACAAATAGCACAACAAATAGAATCATACCTCACATCCCAAGAGTAACATTGAATGTAAATGGCCCAAATGCTCCACTTAAAAGATACAGAATAGAAGAATGGAAGAATTCACCAAGTTTCTGCTGTCTTCAGGAGACTCACCTAACACATAAGAACTCACAGAAACTTAAGGTAAAGGGGTGGAAAAGATATCCCATTCAAATGGACATGAAAAGCAAAGAGGATCAGCTATTCTTATATCAGACAAAACAAAGTGTAAAGCAACAGCATGTAAAAAAGACAAAAAGGGACATTATATAATTATAAAAGGACTAATCCAACAGGAAAATATCACGATTCTAAATATATGTGCACTTAACACTGGAGCTTCCAAATTTGTAGAACAATTACTACTAAACCTAAGAAAGAAGATAGAATAGTGGGAGACATCAATATTCTACTGACAGCAATAGACAGGTCATCAAGACAGAAAGTCAACAGAGAAACAATGGACCAAAACTATAACCTACAACAAATGGACTTAACAGATATTTACAGATTCTATCCAATAATTGCAGAAATATACATTCTATTCATCAGCACGTCAAACATTCTCCAAGACAGACCATATGATAAGCCACAAAACAAGTCTCAGTAAATTTAAGAAAATCAAAATTACATCAAGTACTCTATCAGACCACAGTGGAATAGAATTGGAAATCAACTTCAAAAGGAACCCTCAAAACGATGCAAACATATGTATGTAAATTAAATAACCTATACCTAAATGATTGTTGGGTCAACAATAAAATAAAGATGGAAATTAAAAAATTCTTTGAACTGAAAAATAATAGTGACACAACCTATCAAAACCTCTGGGACACAGCAAAAGTGGTGCAAAGAAGAAAGTTCATAGCATTAAATGCTTACATAAAAAAGTCTGAAAGAGCACAAGTAGACAATCTAAGGTCACACCTCATGGAACTGGAGAATCAAGAACAATTCAAACCCAATCTCAGCAGAAGAAAAATAATGAAGATCAGAGCAGAACTAAGTGAAATTGAAACAAGCAAAAAAAAAAAAAAAAAAAAAAAAGATAAATGAAACAAACAGCTGGTTCTTTGAAAATATAAATAAAATTAATAGACCATTAGTGAGATTAACCAAGAAAACAAGATCCAAATAAGCTCAATTAGAAATGAAACAGGTGATATTACTACTGATACCACAGAAATACAAAGGATTATTCAAGGCTACAATGAACAACTTTATATGCATAAACTAGAACACTTAGAGGAGATGGATAAATTCCCAAAAACATACAACCCTCCTAGATTAAACCAGGAAGATCTAGAACCTCTGAACAAACCAATAACAAGGAACAAGATTGAAATAGTAATAAAAAAAAAGCCAACAAAAAAATGTCCAGGACCAGATGGATTCACAGCTGAATTCTATCAGACATTCAAAGAAGAATTAGTACCAATCTTATTGACACTATTCCACAAGATAGAGAAAGAGGGAATCCTCCCTAAATCATTCTATGAAGCCACTATCACTCTAATACCAAAATCAGGGGAGGACATAACAAAAAAGAAAACAACAGACCAATATCCCTGATGAACATACATGCAAAAATTCTCAGCCAAATACTAGCTAAACAAATCCAACAGCATATCAAAAAGATCATACACCATGATCAAGTGGGTTTCATACCAAGGTTGCAGGGATGGTTTAACATACTTAAGTCAATAAATGTGATACACCACATAAACAGAATTTAAAATTAAAAGCATATGATCATCTCTATAGATTCAGAAAAAGGATTTGACAAAATCCAGTATCCGTTTATGATTAAAATTCTCAGCAAAATCAGCATAGAGGGGACACATCTTAAGGTAATAAAAGCCATCTACAACAAACCCACAGCCAACAAGGGTGCCCACTTGCAACACTTCTATTCAACATAGTACTGGAAGTCCTAGCCAGAGCTAGGAGACAAGAGAAAGAAATAAAGAGCATCCAAATCAGTAAAGTGGAAGTCAAACCGTCACTGTTTGATGATAAGATCATATACATAGAAAACCCTGAAGTATCATCCAAAAAGCTCCTACAACTGATAAATGAATTCAGCAAAGTTTCAGGATACAAAATTAATGTACACAAATCAGTAGCTCTGCTATACACCAACAGTGACCAAGCTGAGAATCAAATAAAGAATTCAACCCCTTTTACAACAGCAGCAAAAAAAAAAAAAAAAAAAAAAAAAAACTTAGGAATATACCTAACCAAAGAGGTGAAATACCTCTACAAGGAAAACTACAAGACACTGCTCAAAGAAATCATAGAAGACACAAATGGAAACACATCTCATGCTCATGGATGGGTAGAATCAATATTGTGAAAATGACCATACTGCCAAAAGAAATCTACAAATTCAATGCAATTCCCATCAAAATACCACTCATTCTTCACAAAACTAGAAAAAAAATCCTAAAATTCATATGGCACCAAAAAAGAGCCCACATAACCAAAGCAAGACTAAGCAAAAAGAGCAAATCTGGAGGCATCACATTACCCAACTTCAAACTATAAGGCCATAGTCACCAAAACAGCATGGTACTGGTATAAAAATAGGCACATAGACCAATGAAACAGAATAGAGAACCCAGAAATAAAGCCAAATACAGCCAACTGGTCTTCCACAAAGCAAACAAAAACATAAAGTGGGGAAAGGACACACTATTCAATAAATTGTGCTGGGATAATTGGCAAGCCACGTGGAGCAGAATGAAACTGGATCCTTTCTCACCTTATACAAAAATCAACTCAAGGTGGATCAAAGACTTCAACCTAAGACATAAAACCATAAATATTCTAGAAGATAACATTAGAAATTCCTTCTAGACATTAGCTTAGGCAAAGACTTCATGGCCAAAAACCCAAAGCAAATGCAACAAAAACGAAGATAAATAGATGGGACTTAAACTAAAAAGCTTCAGCACAGCAAAAGAAATAATCAGCAGAGTGAACAGACAACCCACAAAGTGGGAGAAAATCTTCACAATCTATATATCCAACAAAGGACTAATATCCAGAATCTACAAAGAACTCAAACAAATCAGCAAGAAAATATGAACGATTCCATCAAAAATGTTGCTAAGGACATGAATAGAGAATTGTCAAAAGCAGATATACAAATGGCCAACAAACATGTGGAAAAATGCTCAATATCACTAACTATTAAGGAAATGCAAATCAAAACCACAATGCAATACCACCTCATTCCTGCAAGAATGGCCATAATCAAAAAATCAAAAAATAATAGATGTTGGCATGATTGTGGTGAAAAGGGAACAGTTTTACACTGCTGGTGGTAATGTAAACTAGTACAACCACTATGGAAAACAGTGTGGAGGTTTCTTAAAGAACTCAAAGTAGATCTACCATTTGATCCAGCAATCTACATTACTGGATCATTACTAGGTATCTAGTACCTAGTAGGTATCTACCTAGAGAAAAGAAGTCATTATACAAAAAAGATACTTGTACACACATGATTATAGCAGCACAATTTGCAATTGCAAAAATATTGAACCAGCCCAAATGCCCATTAATCAACAAGTAGATAAAGAAAACATTTATATATATTTATTTTCTATTCAACATATATATATATCACATTTATACACACACACACACACACACACACACACACACACAGAGAGAGACACACACCATGGAATACTACTCAGCCATAAAAAGGAAGGAAATAATGACATTCGCTGCAACCTGGATTGAATTGGAGACTATTATTCTAAGTGAAGTAACTCAGGAATGGAAAACCAAACATCCTATGTTCTCACCCTTATGTGGGAGCTAAGCTATGAGACACAAATGCCTAAGAATTACACACTGGACACTGGAGACTCAGGGGAAAGGGTTAGGCATGGCGAGGGATAAAAGACTACACACGGGGTACAGTGTTATGTGCACCAAAATCTCAGAATTCACCAATAAAGAACTTATTCATGTTACCAAATACCACCTGTTCCCCAAAAACCTACTGAAATAAAAGAGTAAAAAAAATTAAAGAAAATAAATTTTAAAAAATAAAATACAGTATACAAAAAAGTGCAAAAAAAAAAAAAAGAAATATGTATGTCTCTAAGGCCATTGAGACCATCTAGGTGAAGTCTCAATAGCTTGTGTGGGAGCCTCGTGTTAGAGAGATTTAGCTACATAAAGAAGAAATACTACTGTGTTGGAGAAATAAGGTTGTTTTCTGAAACAAAAACTATTTACATTTTCAAACATTTCTCAGTTGTGCTCCCTACTTTATTATTGAAATGGCCTATTTACAAATGGAAAAATTGAAGCATTATTACGTCAACTTTCCCATGAACTGTCATTGATGATAGCATATTGGACTTTCAATGTCTGCAAGGGAGACCAATATTAGAGCAACATCTTAGTTACTGAACTACTGTGAGCTCTCAACCCATGTGCAACCATGACCACATCTTGTGACAAAAATACATCAGGAATCTGAAATTTAAAGAAATAAATGATAAAGATGAGAGCTTATCAAATACCCATCTTATCTTGTCGATATGTGTCCAACCTAAGATAAGTATGAAAAATATTTGCCAAATTTTCAGTCATGCTCAGATAAAATAACCCAAGTTTCCAGATGTCCAAGAGAATATCCTGGAACTCTTAGTGTTCCTTGGATGAATCATTAAATGGCCTCTTCCTTGGACTCAGGACCAGCAATAACTCCTAAGTTGAATTGACTCACATCTATCTTAATCTTAATTTCAATTTAGGTCTCTAACCTTTGAGTCCTTGCTTTTCATGTGGGCACTCAGGATCTGCCATACACTATGAATTTTAACGTGATTTGTTGGGACTGAGAAAGTAATTTCTAATAAACAGCATTAATGCAATCTTAATGCAAAAACTCAGGACTAACTTAGAACCTATAGGACCTTTAGTTTTATGCCAGAAAGGGAAATTTACATGTTTATTACCTCATAATTATGAGCCTTTTGTAGGGCTAAAAGTTTATTTGATCAGCTAGAAACATGGCTGCCTGATATTATGCCATATTTATAGAAGTTACTATTTTTAAAGTCCAATCAGTCATTGTCTTTGGTAGAATAAAGTTCTCTCAGAGTGTTGTATTGAACCAAGCAGTGTGAATGGACAAATGAATTTCCCAAGGGCTCCAGCTACCAGAAATCATCTAGTAATATAAGGGAAGTCCCCAAAGTTTTTTAAGTGAAAAAATAAGCATGAAGATTGAAAGAATAAGACAAAGGAAAGTATAAGTATAAATGGATTTATAACATGGACTGCATCAAGGGATTTGGTATTTTTCTTTCTAATTCATATACATTAAAGTAGATTAACATGCACAGCTTCTAAGGAAGGCACACACACACACACACACACACAAATAATGAGCTCAAAATAGAAAGTGTTAAGCAAATGAAGGAATAATACACCATGAGCAAGAGTCCGAGGAGGAAAAAACAAACAAAATTGTTTTAGCACCACTTTCCCAAGGACTTTAGATTTTGCCATTATCTGATTCAGAATATAAAATAACTCTGTGCAAAATGTTTAAAGAAATCAAAAATGGAATTTAAAAGTTTATAAGAATAAGACTACTCCAAATAACCAACTTGGAAGTAGAGCAAAACAGGGCTTTTAGAAATAAAAAAGTAACTATTGAAATTTAAAACTTTATAACTGGGATATAGAAACAGATTAGGCTTAAAGTCTAAAATTAGATTTTGATTCTAATTAGATGTAAGGTGAAAAGGTAATTATTACATTGGAAAATATATTTTTAAAATTTATTCCTAATTAAGGACAAATGAGATTTTAAAAACAAGAAAAATAAATTAAAATAAAGAGGATAAAATGAGAGAGCCTAACATTGGTTTTACTGATGGTCCAGAAATTAGCTAGTAGGAAGAATGGAGATCTAATATTTGAAGAGAAAATGGCTAAGGAATTTTGAGAATTTGTGAAATAAACCCATTTTCAGATTCAGAACTCCAGTTTATTATTCCAGACAGAATAATAAAAATAGAAATATCAAAATAAAATTGCTGAATATGAAAGACTAAAAGAAGATCTTAAAAACAACCAATAAAACCAAAGCAGAGATAATTTTAAAAGGAATGAAAGTCAGACTGACATCAAACCTCCCAAAGATATCAACTTGTTGAGTGAAAATAACTATAACCCTACAATTATATACTAAGCAAGGTTACCTTTCAACAAGAAGGGTAAAATAAACACATTTTTAGATAAACATCAACTGTGAAAGCTTACCACTAGCAGGCTCTCAAAACATTACCTTCCAAATGATAAACCTCAAGATGAAAGACAAAATTCAAAAAGATTTGAGATACAATAAAGAATGGAAAGCAAATGAGTAAAGATTTAGATAAATCTGAAAAACCTGACTGTATAAAAAGTAGGCATGCTTAATTTGTTAGATTTTTTTCTTAAAGAGAGAAATGAAATTATGAATACCAATAGCAAGTAAGCCCAGAGGAGGATGATCAGAGACAAAAGAATTAAAAAACTCTTGAATTATTCAAAAAGAAGTTCAGACACTAATTAATTTTAGATTTCAAGTCCACAAGGAACACCTGTAAAAGAAGATAAATGGTATGTATATTCCTAAAAGTTATAGGGAGGGGAAAGCTGAACAAGAAAACAGGAGGTCAGAAATGTGACATTAAGAAGCACAGATCACCAGGAACAAACAGAAAGTGCAACCTAATGCAGCAAAATAAGTGCAAATAGATCAGCAATCATAACAAGTGCAAATGTAACTCATTAATTAAAAGATATTGTCAGATAAAATTTTTTAAAATGAGATGAATGTTATGAATGTTATTTCTAAGAGAAAGATCTAAAATATACAAACATGGAAACATTAAAAATATAAAGATAAAAAGGACATACTGGGCAAATACAAATCAAAACAAAACTAATAATATTGGTGAATTAAATTTTGAGACATAAAGCATATGTGAAGAGAATCGTTGCTTAATAATAAAAATTGTCAATAACCAAGGATAATATGCATCCTCTTAGGGGTTATCTTTAACCCTAAAAGATATAAAATGAAAGTTGATAATGTCAAGGAATGTATAAATCTACCATCATAATAGAAGGTTTCAACATCCTTCTATCAATTTTTAGTAGTCAAACAAACAAAAATTGAAGCTTGATTTGATAGACATTTATAGGCCATGTGTTCAACAATAAGAAATACGAAATATCCTCAAGATCCAGAGAATATTTACAAAAATTGTCTCAATATCAGGCCATAAGTCTCAATAAATTTCAAATTATCAGTATCTCAGGAGCCTATTTCCTGATCACGATTAAATTAGAATTCAATAACAAAATAATTTGAGCTCCTACGATGGGAAATTAAAATATTTCTAATACGTGAGTGAAATAAAGAATTATGAAAAGTAAAATATACTTAAAATAATTATACATATTAAAACTTGTGGAATGCTAAAATAACAATTTGAGAACATTCATAAATCTGTACACTTATGGGAGGAGAAAGGCTAAAAAATTAAAGTTGACTAACTTAGGAAAAAAATTTTTAAACAGTACAATTTTTCCAGATGAGATTCTAGTATCTAATAAGCATATGTCCTGGCAATTTCTCAACTATCTCTTTGGAATGTCATAGAAACTTGAGTTCTTTAAAAAAAAAAACTATACTTCCGATGAATCTCTATGTCTTTAAAAAAAAAAAAAAAAAAGACAACGAGAAAAACCCCAAAGAAAATAAAAAGAATGAAAGAACAGAAACAAATAATACAGAAAACAAAAATTCAGTATAGAGTACTCACAAATCCAAAAGACATTTTTTTGAGAACACTAATAAAGTATTAAATATTTGGTCAGATTAATCAATTTAAAAAGAGCGAAAACACAAATATGCAATATCAAAAATGAAAAAGGGATCATGTTACAGACAGAGCAGAAAATTGAAAAGATAATAACTTTAGCCAATGAGCTTTAAAACATGTAAAATTGACAAATTGCTAGGGAAGAAAAGCAATTTACCATAGGTGACTCATGAAGAAATAGGAAATCTGAATAGTTCTGTAATCATTAAAAAAAATTAAATTAGTAGCTAAAGATCTTCCCACAAAAAAAGAAAAAATAGATAATTTCAATTTTTATAAAACTCTTCTGGGAAATAAAAACAAGGAATACTCACCAATACATATATAAAAATATGTAATCTTGTATCGAAATTAGGAAAGTACTTACAAGAAAAGAAAAAGTCAATCTCCCTCCTAAACATATTTAAAAAATACTACAAACTAAATCCAACAATGTATATAAAAGATACACATCATGACCAATTTGAGTCTATTCAAGGAATGCAGTCTGGCCACCATGGCTCACTGCTGTAATCCCAGTACTTTGAAAGGCCGAGGCAGGAGGGTCACTTGAGGCCAGGAATTCAAGACCAGCCTAGGCAATATGGTGAAACGCTATCTCTACAAAAACATTTAAAAAAAATATTTATCCAGGGTTGAAGACCAGCCTGAGCAACATGGCAAGACCCTATCTCTACAAAAATTTAAAAAATATCTATTTAGCCAGGCATGGTTGCCTTCAACTGTAAGTCCCAGCTACTCAGGAGGCTGAGGCAGGAGGACTGCTGAGCCCAGGAGTTTGAGGTTGCAGTGAACCATGATTGGACCACTGCACTTTGGCTTGGGTGATAGAGCGAGACCCTGACTCAAAAACAAAAAAGGAATGTAAGTTTGATTTAACACCTAACAATACAATTCACCACATCAACATAGTTTTTAAAATCATTTAATTATCTCAATACATGGAGGAAAAAAACAAAGAAATTTAATACCCATTCTTAAGTATAAAAAAAAGGAAATTTTTGCAGCCTGCTAAAGAATACCTACTAAAACATAGAGAAAACATTCTAAATGAAGAAACATTAGGCATAGTCTATATAGAATCAAAAGCAACATACATATGGCTAGCCCCAGTGATGACACAGAGTGAGAGTTTGTCAAATCAGTCTCACCAGGATCAGAGATCTCACCTAGTATAAAACTTTGCTAGTAATTCAAAAGACGAAGGAAATCACAAAAAGCAGAAAAATCATGGAGAAGTCTCATACTGCTGTCACAACTCCCCAGCTCTTTCTTTGCTCCTTAATTCTGGACTCCTTAGGTCAGGGGTCCAGATTTAAGGTACGTTCTGATGAGGCAGGCTGGGTATCACTTACACACAGGGGAGCAATCCCTATCATGAAATATCTCTATCGTGTACATCAGAAATTACATAACTGATCCTGACATTTTCCAGTAGGCCATGCCTCACAAATCTATAAACAAGTTTGCTTACCATAGGCGAACTCCAGGGACCAGGTATATCCTACTCAAAGCATTCCATGGTAAGGACTCTCCATTATGATTACAAGGAGATTTGACCAGGCCATTTCATTCTTTTTGGCTCTTTTCCTCTCATCCCTGGGGTACACAGGATGACTTACAAACTAGCTGCTAACCCTTCTCTTCCCACTCAAAGGCCCAGGGATTGGGGGGAAAGAAAAGTCTACATAAGCTACTGAGGATAGATAATTTTGTTTTGTTAACTCCCTGGAATATTGCCTAGAAAATGGCCATCACATTGTGGATGCTCAATAAGTGTCTGTTGAATGAAAGAATCAATAGATTGTTTACAAATGAATGCTCTCTACAAAGAAAACACAAAAGCAACAATAAATAATTAGAATTGATAAGAGGACATAGTAAATTAATATAAAACCAATATACATCAAAAGAGAAAAAGTAATTTTAAAATAATCGTTATTATAGCAACAAAAGCGAAGTCACCCAGGAATGAATAAAACAAAAAATAAGTAAAACCTTTATGACAAAAACTACAAAACATTATTGAAAGACACTGAAAAGGTCTAATAGAGAGATATATGCATAAACAGGAAAACTGAATACCATAAGATATCAATTTTTCCAAATAGACCTGTAGCTTCAATATAATTCCAATTGATATGCTAATCATAGTTGTATTTGTTTTGTTCTGTGAATATGAAAAGTTTGGACTTAAAACATATACGTATAGAAACAAAAAGTTCAATGCAATCCTGAGAAAGGACATGGAGGAAATCTCAACTTACAAAATACCAAAATGTATTATAAAGTCATAGTCATGGAGTCAGTGTGGCACTGGGGCAAGAGTGGACAAATAGACCAACAAACTGGGCAGAAAGCTCAGAGAGAGGGCCATTCACACCTAGCAACTTAACATGTCAGAGGTGGCCTTCCAGATTAGTGGGAAAGGAGGAACAATTTAAAAGTTGGCATTGTCATTGTCACAATTGGTTGTCTGTATAAAAAATTAAATTTGACTCTTCAAAATTCAGTTTCAAGTAGATTATAAAGTTAACTGTGAAATGCAAAACTTCTAAACTTTTAGCAGCAAACAGAGAAGAATATCTCTACAAACTTAGGCAAAACATAAAAATAACAAAGAAAACAATTGGTACATTTCACTATATTAAAAGGTAACTTTATTTATTTTGAAGAGATTTATTCTAAGCCAAATATGGGTGACCAATGGCCTGTGACACAGCCCTCAGGGAGATCCTGATAACATGTGCCTAAGGTGGTCTGGATACAGCTTGGTTTTATACATTTTAGGGAAACATTAGGCATCAGTCAATACATGTAAAATGTAAAAATGTGACATTTCTATCAGGCAAAAGATGCTGTTTAGAAACCAAAAATTTACAAAAACCAACAAACTAGGGAAAATAGAAGTTGCAACAAATGTAACTGTCAAAGGATTAGTATCAATAATCTCTCATAATCTCCTACCTCTCAACTGGTAAGTCATAGCCCAGTTGGAAAATAGACTGTCCCATCATGTTACACAAGAACAGACTGACCATAGACATAAGAAAAAGTTGTCAACCTTGTCAGTAATCAGAGAAATATAATTTTAACTGCAATAAAACTAATTTTACATTAATAAAAATACAAAAATTAAACTCTGACAGTACCAATTTTTGGTGAGGATACAGGACAATGAGAACCCTCATACATGGATAGGTGCGACTATAATTGAATTTAACTTATTTGAAACATAATTTAATATTACTCTTAAGTCTGAAAATGTGCAGACCTTATGGACCACAATCCCACTTTCTGATGCGTATCCAACATACACTTGCAAATGTACACTGGAAAACAGAGCAGTGTTGAGTGTCAAGAGCAACAAAATGAAAACAACTCACATGCTCATCACCAAGGAAACAGATAAATTGTGGCAAGTGAATACTACATAATACTCTACAGCAGTGAAGCAAATGAATTACAGCTACACACATGAATGTGGATGAATGTCAAAAACAATAGTGAGGAAAAGCAAGTCACAGACATCACATACAGTATAATGCCATCTATATAAATGGCAAGATGTAATTAATGATAACAGTGATACAAAGCATCATGGGAGTTCTGAGGAAGGATTTCTGTCTATGGGAGTCAAGGAATACATTATAGGGAAGGTGACCTTTGAACTGGACTTTGAACAATAGAATTTCTAGGAAGATACAGAGAGTAGTAAGTATACGTAAGTACAGCGCAAGATGAAAAAAGTGTGAGCAATGGTTTGAAGGTTCCCCATTCTCCAAAGAACAATGTAACTGAAAAATAAGACATGCCATGGGAAATCATAAGACCATAGAGAAAGCTAGATAGGGATTGGTTGGGGCCAGGGAGCCAAGAGGTCCTTGCTTGCTATATCAGACACATGAGAGGAGGTCCCATTATTCACATCCTAAAGCAGTGCCTTGTTCTGTGAGCCTGTCACCTGCCCTGTACTCCTCCTCCCCCGCCACCTCCCTCATACTCATGCTCTTATTCCCTAGCATTACTCTTATTCTGACCACTTGAAAATAACAGCAACTGATACTGCATTATTATGAACTTCAAAATGAGGGTAAAATAGTATAAATAGTCTAGGTGGAGAAAGCCCACACTGGCCCAGTGCATTCAGCAACCCCGACGCCTTGAACCCACACTAGGAGGCATGTGTGTATGCCTAGGGCCATGTCCCTTCAGCAAAGAGTCTCACACAAATACCTAATTTGGGATAAGCTCAATAATTAAAGGCTGTACTTTCCATCTACACTCATTCAGCAAACATTTATTGAGCATTTCAAGCCAACAGGAGCAGTCTTCTTAGAGTCATGCAACCAGTCTCATTATACGGTAGCTCCTCCATCCCAACGATAGTTGTCAGCGGTCATAGCCAAGTGTTGTTAGACATGATCCAGAAGTGATTTGCTACTTATTTTCATTTTGCAGAACAGCCATTCAGTGTTCACTCAAGCACTAATGCTTTTTAAAATTAAATGTGAACTGTAGTGAGTAAAATACTCTTAACCATAGTAGAAATAGTTTGCTGTTCAAAGTGATGTGTGAGAAGCATGCAAAAATATCATTGGCAGAATACCAACTGGTACTTTTTTAAAAAAATTACTTTCTCTTGTCCTTTTTCTCTTAATCTAATGTTAATACATTTAAAAAGAAGAAGAGAGATATGAAAATATGTTTTGTGCAATATGATTTGAAAGGGAAGTTCTACTTTTTACCAGAAAACTGAGGGTGGAAGAAGGCCCTTATCTTTCCTTGATATCTCTATTTTTTTCTAGAAGACTTTGTAGCAAGTTGAACTGAGCCAAACATGAATATGGAAGCCGCTCTTTGTAAGAAAGATGATGTTACTGACCTACGGTCAAAAGTAGTGATAATGAATTTTAACTGACCCAATCATATTCTTTTAAATGCTTTTCAATAATGTATCTTGTATTACCAAAGGTACACACAGCTGAGTCCTAACTCAGACAAGGCCCCAGTTGACCCAAGGCTCAGAAATGGAGAATGGAACGGGAAACATAACCAAAAAGTGGGTATTAAGGTGACAGAAACTACCAATATATTACAATCATAGTGTAGACGGAACTGGTTGAGAGCCATAGGTGGAGGTCAATCTTGGGAGTTCAGAAAACAAATGCAGCCAGATAGGGAAACAAACAGAAGCCATGGCAAGAAGCAAAACTAGAGCACAAAGCACAGAGCATTTTTCTTATCAGCCCAGAGATTTATGAAGAACACTAATTTTATGATTTGAAGACTTGGAATTCTGGTCAAAAAACGTTAAATCTGCTACCAAATCCTCCCTACCTTTTAAAGGAATAGTCTCAAAGCCGAAATTTGTCCAAAAAACAAAACTGACGATTTATGTAGCAGTGAGCTGAGAAACAGAGTAAAATTAGCCAAGGTGGAACAGAGCATCTCACTGTGGTGCAAACCCTTGGTTTCATCAGCACAGTGCTCTAAACACCTGAACACCTTATCTGGAGCCCAACTCATCTGGTCATTAGGTCAGTTCATAAAATAAAGTTACAAAGTGAGTCAGTGAGCACTACTTTGATTACAAGTGACAAAGTTTCAGTCCAAAATGTTTAGGCAAAAAAAAGTATACTGAGGTGTCTCGTAGAACTTAAGCCAAGAATATCTGGACCTCATTAGCAATTCAAACACATGCACAATCAGGATCCCACCCACTCTCCTGTGTCTGTGTCTCTGTGCCCCTGCATCATTCCTCCGTCTCAGTGTGGACCAGGGTGGAGGAAAACATGGGCAACATCAGCCCCAGACTCGTAGATCTTAAAGCTCCAGTCCTCAGAGACTGACTGGCTTTCTCTGATCCCAGTTAAAACAGTGGAAAAGAAAATTTGGGGCCCAGGCTCAGTCAGATTCCCAAAGATAGGCCACTCGACTGTGGGAGAGATGGCAGACTGCTTTGACTGGCCCAGCAATGCTCAGGTGTCCAACCTTGTATTAGTGAACAGAGGTCAAAGGGATGAGGTCATGAAAGAATATGGCCACTGGAAATTGCCATTTCCCAAAGAAGCAGATGCTTAGCATAGAAACAGTAAGTATCCACCACCCAAGTGAGTGAGCTACATATTACACAACGTGCAATAATTGGGCTAATAGCCCAATATTAGGACCAGAATAGACAATCACCTGCCCCTGACTGTAGAGATTGTGTCCTTTAATCTTATTTAAAAATCATTGCAACTCTGTCTCCCAGATGAAGATGGAGCTTCTATACTCCCCAGTTTCTTAGTCACCCCCTAGAATTTAGAGGCAGGTGAGGGTGTCTAGTTCATGTCAGGCACACTAAGGTTTCTCTAGTTGATGGGGCAGGGCAGCCAAGAGAGGAGAACCAGCTTTCCTGACAGATCCAGTTCACATTCCAACTTCTCATGCCCTAGTTTTGCAACTGTGGGCACGTTACTGAACTTCTCTCTGAGCCACAGTTTCCTCACCTGCAAAATGAGGAACAGAAAAGTACCTTGCAAGGTTTGTATAAAGGTTAGAGATAATGTACATAACAGAACACTATGTCTGATCGATGATAGCTACTGTATTATTAATATACTGAATGGCTCCCCTCACAACCCCTAAGAGATAATGTGTCTTTGACCTTGGGAATGTCTTCAGGATAACATTCCATTTTATACCAACCTATTTCCTTGTAAAAAAATCTCCCTTTTGTACCCTGTATACCCAGACAAGAAGACATGGTTAATATAGATTCCAATTAGGTTGTACTATGAAGAAAGAGGGATGGAGTGAGGATAACGGAGCAATTTTTATTCTTTACCTGAAATGATACCACAAAATATCCAAACTTTAAAATATGAAACAGGAAGGACAACATAGCTTCCCTAGCACCCTGAATTTTTAAAACCTGAAATAAAAATACAATTCAGGAAAGCCCTACCTGGCACCATCTCTGGAGCTATGGCCATTCAGAGTGGGGCAAAGTTCCCCAGTAGGATTTCACAAAATATAGATATCTTTATTTTACAAATGAAGAAACTCAAGCTCAGAGAGAAGTCACTTCCCTGAGGTCACACCATTCAACAAAATTAGGGGTACATCTAGATCCTAGTCCCAGCCCAAGGCCTTCCCACCCACTCTGCATCATAGGCAGCTGGAGGGAGGAAGGTGGGGCCCTCAGGGAGGCCCCAGAGGAAGAGAGAGGAAGAGCTGACCTTGACGAGAGTAAAGAAAATGTTACAGACAGAGCTTCATGTCTTTCGAGTGGATCCCCTGACAAAAGGGGAAGAAAACAGGCTTTACAACCTGTGCTCTCTCCTGGCTGCTTTCCCTGGCGAGATTTAAGTGAGTTGAAAATTATCCATTATTTTTCACTATCTGAAGCTCCCTTAACATGGATAATCAAAACGTAGCTTTCATTAATGTCCCTCAAACAGCAATAATAAAAGAATACATAGTTCAGGTAGTACATGATAAAAAAGGATTCCTGTACTCCTACCTCAGTCTCCTGCTTTGATTCATTTTATGCTCTAGCAAACCAAATGCTTGTGACAGCCCTGCTCAGACACTCCTTCTTCCCTCCACAGTACTGTTCTTGCTGACCCTGCTGGCTGGAATTCCCTTCTGCTGTTTCCTCAGTTCACTCGTCCTCTAAGATGTAGCTCAGGTACCACCTGCTCTGGGAAACTGTCCATGATTCGTCTTTGCATCATGGCTCATTGTAAGCCACAGTGAAGGTGTGTTGAGTGCTTAACATTGAAGAAAAGTGTTTTATCATTATAATCCAGGGCCAGAATTTCTTTTTTTGTAACCCTAAACCATTGCAGCCATTTCTACAACTCCTCCTCCAACACACTGACTGTGTGTGAATCAGGCCATGTGTGTCATAAGCCACTAAAATTTTGGAAATGTCTGCTGGAAAATGTCAGCCTCCTTTCCTGACAGAGAGGAAAGGAAGTAGAACATGAGAAACCACAGCAGTACGGGGAGGGGGGACAGGATGGTGAACACAGGAAGGTGGGAGAGAAATGGCACAGGAGCACCTGGAGAAGAAAGCAGCCAAGACAACATAGTCACATATCTGACATTGTCCAAAACCACTGCTGCTCCTCTTATTTTCGGCAACCTCTACCCCTAGCTGGGAATTTCTGGATTTGCAGTAGTTACCAGGAAGAAATGGAGACTTTCTGAGGTGAATGAGGCCCGTGGCAGCAACAACACAAGACCATCACCCCTTGAAGTGACCTTTACCTCAAGTTATGCCTGAGACTTAGCTGTCCCTACAGCAAGACTACAGGGTCACATGGAGGTCATAGTGTGGGCTCTGCTCTAAGATAGAACCCAAGAGGGCACTATGTGACTTACAGAACAGACAGCAGGGAACAGCATCTAGCCTGCCCAGGTTAGGTGCTCCAGGGTACAGCTTTATCCCTTAGCCACTGATGAAGCCTTCACATCATAGGCAACACCAAACCTGGCCTAGCTCCTAGACAAAATACTGGCCAAATCTCAAATCTGAATTTCTCCAATTCTGATTCTCATCTGTACAGCTTAACAAATCAAGTTTGTTCAAGCTCATTCACTTACAAACTTTGGCTGGCATCCAGCGTCACCATTCTGAGACCATGGGTCCCAGAAAGCCCATTACATCTGTGGTCTGTGGTCCTGTATAGCCAACAATTAGCTCCCAGATGCAATACAAACTGCCATTTCCATTCTGGTCATGGTTACCATGGGAATCACCTTATGCTTCTCTGTGGAAACCAACTATAATGCTTTTTACTAACGGCCCATGCATTGGCTCTTGGGAGACTAGAAGTATTAGGCAATCAAAGCACTTGTATTTGAACTTCCTCTCCTTTTTTAGGAGCTTAAGTATGAATGAAGAAGGGCAAGAGACAGAGAAGAAAGTGTATTCATTCCATTAGGAAAGAGGTTTCTTCTGGCCCTTTTCTTCTGTGAGTGGAGCTCAGATATTTTTACAAATTTAAGAAAAGTCATTGACAAGGGATTAATAACCAGAATATATAAGGAGCTCAAATAATTCAACAGGAGAAAAAGCTAATAACTCAAAAAGTGGGCAAAAGATTTGAATAGACACTTCTCAAAAGAAGACATACAAATGGGAAACAGGTATATGAAAAGGTACTCGGCATCATTGATCATCAGAGAAATGCAAATCAAAACTACAATGAGATATCATCTCACCCCAGTTAAAATGGATTATATCCAAAAGACCGGGAAGAACAAATGCTGGTGAGGATGTGGACAAAAGGGAACCCTCATATGCAGTTGCTGGGAATGTAAATTAGTACAGTCACTATGGAGAACAGCGTGGAGGTTCCTCAAGAACTAAAAATAGAGCTACTATATGATCCAGCAATCGCACTGCTAGGTATATATCCAAAAGAAAGCAAATCAGTATGTTTAAGAGATATCTACCTTCCCACATTTACTGCAGCACTGTTTACAACAGCCAAGATTTGGAAGCTACCTAAGTATCCATCAACAGATGAATGAATAAAGAAAATGTGGTACATATACACAATGGAGAACTATTCAGTCAAAAAAATAGATTCTGTTATTTACAACAACACTAATGGGACTAAAAGACATTTTGTCAGGCAAAAAAGACAAATTTGCATGTTCTCACTCATTTATAGGAGCTAAAAATTAAAACAACTGAACTCACTCATTGAGCTAGAGTGTAGAAGGATGGTGACCAGAGACTGGGAAGGGTAGTGGGGGTTGGGGGTTGGGGGTTGGGGATTGGGGACGGTTAATGGGTACAAAAATATAGTTAGATGGAATGAATAAGATCTAATATTTGATGGCACAATAGAGGGACTAAAGTTGACAATTTATTGTACATTTTAAAATAACTAAAAGTGCATAATTGGATTGTTTGTAACACAAAGAAAGGAAAAATGCTTAAGATGATGGATACCCCATTTACCCTGATGTGATTATTACACATTGTATGCCTGTATCAAAATATCTCAAGCACCCCATATACACCTACTATATATGCACAAAAATTAAAAATGAAAAAAATCTAATTAAAAAAAGGAAAATAGGTAACACCATGGGGACACTGTGGGGGGACACAACACCAAGAGATGTTGATTAAAGGATTCCTGATTTCAGTCAGGTAAGGGTAATAACTCCTGCATGACATGGTGACTATAATTACAATGTAGTATATTCTTGCCAGTTGCCAGGAGAGTAGATTTTAAGTGTTCATACCACAAAAAATGACCAGTATGTCAGGTAATGCATATCTTATTAGCTCAATTTGGCTATACCACAATGTATACATATTTCAAAACATTATATTGTACATGATAAATATATACAATTGTATTTGTCAATCAAAAACAATTTTTTAAGTCAAAAGTAAAAAAAAAATACACCAAGCTAGAAGTCAGGAGACCTGGCTTCTACATTTGAGTCAGTCACTAACTCTCTCTGTCAGTTGATACAATTCACTAAACCTCTTGGAGCCTGTTTTCTCATCAATAAACTGAGGAGTTTAACCAAAAAGATTTGTTTTAACCTCATCAATTAGTATTTTGATAATTTTTTCTGCTATAAATTTACAAAATAACTTCTCCTCTACATGAACAATGGTCAGTAAGAGTTGTCAGATAAAAGACAGGAAAACATAACAAAACTGAAAATAAAACATGGTTCAGGTTATAGGGCCAGAGGCCAGAGGGGCCCAGAAGCCAAAACTGCAGATGGAGTTAGGACTGTGAAACCAAACAAGCAATCTGGCATCAGAAAGCCCAAAGAGCAGATCCAGATACTCAGCAAGAAGACATCGTGGCCAAAGAATGAGGTCATCAAGAAAATCGAAAGCAAAAAGTCCTAACTGAGCCACGTGGTGGATTAGAATATGTCTATCCCAAGTCAGAAAATAACGAGTCAAAAGCCTATGAGAAAGTTAAAAAAAGTTGAGAGACATGAAAAAGAAAATCAAGTCCCAACAATTTCTCCTGTACAATGCTTGCAGTAATATGTCTCAGGCCATGCCTGGCATAGGCCACAGTCAAAGCTGTGGAAAATGTCTGCTGGGAAATGTCAGTTTCCTTTCCTGATAGAGGTTTCCAGAATTTCAATGGACAAGGCAAAAAAAAAAAAAAATCCCTGTAAAGTCAGTTAAAAACCTATGGGATCAAAAGGACAAGAGGTTTGAGGCTGAGATACAGGCACTTGGGCCTAATTTTGCACCCGTTTTGGTTTTTTTTTTGTTTTGTTTTTGTTTTTTTTTGGTCATTGCCACTGAGGTCTCCATCAAAGCTCCTGGGCTAAGCCTCTATAGGTGTGCCTTCTCATCTTGAAAATTGCCAGTATAGGGCTAGCCATATGTAGAGAGCTGAAACTGGATCCCTTCCTTACACTTTATACAAAAATTAATTCAAGATGGATTAAAGACTTAAATGTTAGACCTAAAACCATAAAAACCCTAGAAGAAAACCTAGGCAATACCATTCAGAACATAGGCATGGGCAAGGACTTCATGACAAACACCAAAAGCAATGGCAACAAAAGCCAAAATAGACAAATGGGATCTAATTAAACTAAAGAGCTTCTGCACAGCAAAAGAAACTACCATCAGAGTGAACAGGCAACCTACAGAATTGAAGAAAATTTTTGCAATCTGCCCATCTGACAAAGGGCTAATATCCAGAATCTACAAAGAACTCAAACAAATTTACAAGAAAAAAACAAATAACCCCATCAAAAAGCGGACAAAGGGTAGGAACAGACACTTCTCAAAAGAAGACAGCTATGCAGCCAACAGACCATGAAAAAATGCTCATCATCACTGGTCATCAGAGAAATGCAAATCAAAACCACAGTGAGATAGCATCTCATACCAGTTAGAATGGCAATCACTAAAAACTCAGGAAACAACAGATGCTGGAGAGGATGTGGAGGAAATACGAACGCTTTTACACTGTTGGTGGCAGTGTAAATTAGTTCAACCATTGTGGAAGACAGTGTGGAGATTCCTCAAGGATCTAGAACTAGAATTACCATTTGACCCAGCCATCCCATTACTGGGTATATACCCAAAGGATTACGAATCATGCTACTATAAAGACACATGCACACGTATGTTTATTGTGGCAATATTCACAATAGCAAAGACTTGGAACCAACCCAAATGTCCATCAATGATAGACTTGATTAAGAAAATGTGGCACACATACACCATGGAATTCTATGCAGCCATAAAAAAGGGATGAGTTCATGTCCTTTGCAGGGACATGGATGAAGCTGGAAACCATCATTCTCAGCAAACTATCACAAGGACAGAAAATGAAACACTGCATGCTCTCACTCATAGGTGGGAATTGAACAATGAGAACGCCTGGACACAGGGTGGGGGACATCACACAGCGGGGCCTGTTGGGGAGTGGGGGGCTGGGGGAGGGATAGCATTAGGAGAAATACCTAGAGTAAATGATGAGTTGATGTGTTCAGCAAACCAACATGGCACATGTATACCTATGTATCAAACCTGCACGTTGGACACATGTACCCTAGAAGTATAATAATAATGTAAAAAGAAGTTAAAAATGAAAAACAAAAAAAGAAAATTGTCAGTATAGAATACAGAAAAGCCCTATATTATATATACATATATATTCTATACTATATATACAGTATATTCTATATTCTATACTTAACAGAAAGCTTTATTTTCTCAGAGCTTGGGACTTAGTGAATATTTATTCAAATAATGAGGGCAGCCAAGATGGCTGAATAGGAAGAGCTCCAGTCTACAGCTCCCAGCATCAGCGACGCAGAAGACGGGTGATTTCTGCATTTCCATCTGAGGTACCGGGTTCATCTCACTAGGGAGTGACAGACAGTGGGTGCAGGACAGTGGGTGCAGCACACCATGTGCCAGCCGAAGCAGGGCGAGGCATTGCCTCACTCGGGAAGCACAAGGGATCAGGGAGTTCCCTTTCCTAGTCAAAGAAAGGGGTGACAGACGGTACCTGGAAAATCAGGTCACTCCCACCCTAATACTGCGCTTTTCCAACAGGCTTAAAAAATGGCACACCAGGAGATTATATCCCGCACCTGGCTTGGAGGGTCCTACGTCCATGGAGTCTCATTGATTGCTAGTACAGCAGTCTGAAATCAAACTGCAAGGCGGCAGCGAGGCTGGTGGAGGGGCGCCCGCCATTGCCCAGGCTTGCTTAGGTAAACAAAGCAGCTGGGAAGCTCGAACTGGGTGGAGCCCACCACAGCTCAAGGAGGCCTGCCTGCCTCTGTAGGCTCCACCTCTGGGGGCAGGGCACAGACAAACAAAAAGACAGCAGTAACCTCTGCAGACATAAATGTCCCTGTCTGACAGCTTTGAACAGAGCAGTGGTTCTCCCAGCATGCAGCTGGAGATCTGAGAATGGGCAGACTGCCTCCTCAAGTGGGTCCCTGACCCCTGACCCCCAAGCAGCCTAACTGGGAGGCACCCCCCATTAGGAGCAGACTGACACCTCACACGGCCAGGTACTCCTCTGAGACAAAACTTCCAGAGGAACGATCAGACAGCAGCATTCGCAGTTCACAAAAATCCGCTATTCTGCAGCCACTGCTGCTGGTACCCAGGCAAACAGGGTCTGGAGTGGACCTCTAACAAACTCCAACAGACTTGCAGCTGAGGCTCCTGTCTGTTGGAAGGAAAACTAACAAATAGAAAGGACATCCACACCAAAAACCCATCTGTACATCACCATCATCAAAGACCAAAAGTAGATAAAACCACAAAGATGGGGAAAAAACAGAGCAGAAAAACTGGAAACTCTAGAAAGCAGAGCACCTCTCCTCCTCCAAAGGAATGCAGCTCCTCACCAGCAATGGAACAAAGCTGGATGGAGAATGACTTTGACAAGTTGAGAGAAGAAGGCTTCAGATGATCAAACTACTCCGAGCTATAGGAGGAAATTCAAACCAAAGGCAAAGAAGTTGAAAACTTTGAAAAAAATTTAGATGAATGTATAACTAGAATAACCAATACAGAGAAGTGCTTAAAGGAGCTGATGGAGCTGAAAGCCAAGGCTTGAGAACTACGTGAAGAATGCAGAAGCCTCAGGAGCTGATGCAATCAACTGGAAGAAAGGGTATCAGTGATGGAAGATGAAATAAATGAAATGAAGCGAGAAGGGAAGTTTAGAGAAAAAAGAATAAAAAGAAATGAACAAAGCCTCCAAGAAATATGGGACTATGTGAAAAGACCAAATCTACGTCTGATTGGTGTACCTGAAAGTGATGGGGAGAATGGAACCAAGTTGGAAAACACTCTGCAGGATATTATCCAGGAGAACTTCCCCAATCTAGCAAGGCAGGCCAACATTCAGATTCAGGAAATACAGAGAACGCCACAAAGATACTCCTCGAGAAGAGAAACTCCAAGACACATAATTGTCAGATTCACCAAAGTTGAAATGAAGGAAAAATGTTAAGGGCAGCCAGAGAGAAAGGTCGGGTTACCCACAAAGGGAAGCCCATCAGACTAACAGTGGATCTCTCGGCAGAAACTCTACAAGCCAGAAGAGAGTGGGGGCCAATATTCAACATTCTTCAAGAAAAGAATTTTCAACCCAGAATGTCATATCCAGCCAAACTAAGCTTCATAAGTGAAGGAGAAATAAAATACTTTACAGACAAGCAAATGCTGAGAGATTTTGTTACCACCAGGCCTGGCCTAAAAGAGCTCCTGAAGGAAGCACTAAACATGGAAAGGAACGACCGGTACCAGCCACTGCAAAATCATGCCAAATTGTAAAGACCATCGAGGCTAGGAAGAAACTGCATCAACTAATGAGCAAAATAACCAGCTAACATTCATAATGACAGGACCAAATTCACACATAACAATATTAACTTTAACTGTAAATGGACTAAATGCACCAATTAAAAGACACAGACTGGCAAATTGGATAAAGAGTCAAGACCCATCAGTGTGCTGTATTCAGGAAACCCATCTCACGTGCAGAGACACACATAGGCTCAAAATAAAAGGATGGAGGAAGATCTACCAAGCAAATGGAAAACAAAAAAAGGCAGGGGTTGCAATCCTAGTCTCTGATAAAACAGACTTTAAACCAACAAAGATCAAAAGAGACAAGGCCATTACATAATGGTAAAGGGATCAATTCAACAAGAAGAGCTAACTATACTAAATATATATACACCCAATACAGGAGCACCCAGATTCATAAAGCAAGTCCTGAGTGACCTACAAAGAGACTTAGACTCCCACACAATAATAATGGGAGACTTTAACACCCCACTGTCAATATTAGACAGATCAACGAGACAGAAAGTTAACAAGGATACCCAGGAATTGAACTCAGCTCTGCACCAAGCGGACCTAATAGACATCTACAGAACTCTCCACCCCAAATCAACAGAATATACATTCTTTTCAGCACCACACCTATTCCAAAATTGACCACATAGTTGGAAGTAAAGCTCTCCTCAGCAAATGTAAAAGAACAGAAATTATAACAAACTGTCTCTCAGACCACAGTGCAATCAAACTAGAACTCAGGATTAAGAATCTCACTCAAAACCGCTCAACTACATGGAAACTGAACAACCTGCTCCTGAATGGGTACGGTACATAACGAAATGAAGGCAGAAACAAAGATGTTCTTTGAAACCAACGAGAACAAAGACACAACATACCAGAATCTCTGGGACACATTCAAAGCAGTGTGTACAGGGAAATTTATAGCACTAAATGCCCACAAGAGAAAGCAGGAAAGATCCAAAATTGACACCCTAACATCACAATTAAAAGAACTAGAAAAGCAAGAGCAAACACATTCAAAAGCTAGCAGAAGGCAAGAAATAACTAAAATCAGAGCAGAACTGAAGGAAATAGAGACATAAAAAAACCTTCAAAAAATTAATGAATCCAGGAGCTGGTTTTTTGAAAGGATCAACAAAATTGATAGACTGCTAGCAAGACTAATAAAGAAGAAAAGAGAGAAGAATCAAATAGACACAATAAAAAATGATAAAGGGGATATCACCACCGATCCCACAGAAATACAAACTACCATCAGAGAATACTACAAACACCTCTATGCAAATAAACTAGAAAATCTAGAAGAAATGGATAAATTCCTTGACACATACATCCTCCCAAGACTAAACCAGGAAGAAGTTGAATCTCCTAATAGACCAATAACAGGTTCTGAAATTGTGGCAATAATCAATAGCTTACAAACCATAGAGAGTCCAGGACCAGATGGATTCACAGCCGAATTCTACCAGAGGTACAAGGAGGAACTGGTACCATTCCTTCTGAAACTATTCCAATCAATAGAAAAAAAGGGAATCCTCCCTAACTCATTTTATGAGGCCAGCATCATCCTGATACCAAAGCCTGGCAGAGACACAACCAAAAAAGAGAATTTTAGACCAATATCCTTGATGAACATTGATGCAAAAATCCTCAATAAAATACTGGCAAACCGAATCCAGCAGCACAGCAAAAAGCTTATCCACTATGATCAAGTGGGCTTCATCCCTGGTATGCAAGGCTGGTTCAATATACACAAATCAATAAATGTAATCCAGATATAAACAGAACCAAAGACAAAAACCACATGGTTTTCTCAATAGATGCAGAAAAGGCCTTTGACAAAATTCAAAAACCCTTCATGCTAAAAACTCTCAATAAATTAGGTATTGATGGGACGTATCTCAAAATAATAAGAGCTATCTATGACAAACCCACAGCCAGTATCATACTGAATGGGCAAAAACGGGAAGCATTCCCTTTGAAAACTGGCACAAGACAGGGATGCCCTCTCTCACCACTCCTATTCAACATAGTGTTGGAAGTTCTGGCCAGGGCAATCAGGCAGGAGAAGGAAATAAAGGGTATTCAATTAGGAAAAGAAGAAGTCAAATTGTCCCTGTTTGCAGATGACATGATTGGATATCTAGAAAACCCCATTGTCTCAGCCCAAAATCTCCTTAAGCTGATAAGCAACTTCAGCAAAATCTCAGGATACAAAATCGATGTACAAAAATCACAAGCATTCTTATACACCAATAACAGACAGAGAGCCAAATCATGAGTGAACTCCCATTCACAATTGCTTCAAAGAGAATAAAATACCTAGGAATCCAGCTTACAAGGGATGTGAAGAACCTCTTCAAGGAGAACTACAAACCACTGCTCAATGAAATAAAAGAGGATACAAAGAAATGGAAGAACATTCCATGCTCATGAGTAGGAAGAATAAATATTGTGAAAATAGCCATACTGCCCAAGTTAATTTATAGATTCAGTGCCATCCCCATCAAGCTACCAATGACTTTCTTCCCAGAATTGGAAAAAACTACTTTAAAGTTCATATGGAACCAAAAAAGAGCCCATATCACCAAGTCAATCCTAATCCAAAAGAACAAAGCTGGAGGCATCACGCTACCTGACTTCAAACTATACTACAAGGCTACAGTAACCAAAGCAGCATGGTACTGGTACCAAAACAGAGATACAGATCAATGGAACAGAACAGAGCCCTCAGAAATAATGCCGCATATCTACAACTATCTGATCTTTGACAAACCTGAGAAAAACCAGCAATGGGGAAAGGGTTCCCTATTTAACACATGGTGCTGGGAAAACTGGCTAGCCATATGTAGAAAGCTGAAACTGGATCCCTTCCTTACACCTTATACAAAAATTAATTCAAGATGGATTAAAGACTTAAATGTTAGACCTAAAACCATAAAAACCCTAGAAGAAAACCTAGGCATTACCATTCAGGACATAGGCATGGGCAACAACTTCATGACAAACACCAAAAGCAATGGCAACAAAAGCCAAAATTGACAAATGGGATCTAATTAAACTAAAGAGCTTCTGCACAGCAAAAGAAACTACCATCAGAGTGAACAGGCAACCTACAAAATGGGAGAAAATTTTCACAACCTACTCATCTGACAAAGGGCTAATATCCAGAATCTACAATGAACTCAAACAAATTTATGAGAAAAAAACAAACAACCCCATCAAAAAGTGGGCAAAGGACATGAACAGACACTTCTCAAAAGAAGACATTTATGCAGCCAAAAAACACATGAAAAAATGCTCACCATCACTGGCCATCAGAGAAATGCAAATCAAAACCACAATGAGATATCATCTCACACCAGTTAGAATGGTGATCATTAAAAAGTCAGGAAACAACAGGTGCTGGAGAGGATGTGGAGAAATAGGAACCCTTTTACACTGTTGGTGGGACTGTAAACTAGTTCAACCATTGTGGAAGTCAGTGTGGCGATTCCTCAGGGATCTAGAACTAGAAATACCATTTGACCCAGCCATTCCATTACTGGGTATATACCCAAAGGACTATAAATCATGCTGCTATAAAGACACATGCACACGTATGTTTATTGCGGCACTACTCACAATAGCAAAGACTTGCAACCAACCCAAATGTCCAACAATGATAGACTGGATTAAGAAAATGTGGCACATATACACCACGGAATACTATGCAGCCATAAAAAAGGATGAGTTCATGTCCTTTGTAGGGACATGGATGAAACTGGAAATCATCATTCTCAGTAAACTATCGCAAGGACAAAAAACCAAACACCACATGTTCTCGCTCATAGGTGGGTATTGAACGATGAGAACACATGGACACAGGAAGGGGAATATCACACTCTGGGGCCTGTTGTGGGGTTGGGGGAGGAGGGAGGGATAGCATTAGGAGATATACCTAATGTTAAATGACAAGTTACTGGGTGCAGCACACCAGCATGGCACATGTATACATATGTAATTAACCTGCACATTGTGCACATGTACCCTAAAACTTAAAGTATAATAATAATAAAATAAAATAAAATAAAAAAGAAATAATGAATAAGCTCTCATCTCTAAGTACCTACTGTAGGCCAAATACAATGCTAGGAACTTAATAAAAAGGTACATTGATTGATGCTTTAAAATCCAGATAATTTGAGGTTAATTTTCTGATCCCTTCCAAGTTCCTTGATACTATGCCACCTAAGGAGCTTTTTAGAGACTTTAAAAAATGTTTCCCTAGGCCTTAGACCCTCCAGGTACAGTGGAAAAAGAATTAGGTTCTTATGCCAGTTTCACTGCTAACTTGCCTTGGGCCAAGTCTAAGTCACAAAAACATTCAAACTCTCAGCTTCCTCTTCTGTCCTGTGGACTTACTCTTTCCTCCCCTGCCTCTTTCATGAGATGGTGGGAGGAGTCAATGAACTAACACCTGTGAAATCACTTTGAAATACTGTCTCAGTGGTGACAAGCCAGCACTCAGCCAAGAGGGGGATTTCATTGGAATCAGGATTTCTGATTCAGCCTGGCTTCCTAAGCCATTTCTACATCAATCAGCTGTCACTGCTCCTTCTCCTCAAACCATGTGAATTTTAAAAGCCAGCACAAGCTCATCTGGAATTCACATACCCCATCTTCAAACAGACAAGGACAATGCGAAATTGGAAATACAGGAAGATGGCAGGTGGCACTGCGCTCTCTGAAAAATGAGCACTGTAGAAACAGCTCTGCTTCTTCCCAGGATGCCTGATGTCGTGGGTGATTTGTAATGCTTTCCCTGAAAAGCCCTCATCCCCATGAACACATTTTAAAGATAGAAATCAATCTTACAGTATGACAGGGAGAGAAAAATCTGTCAGGAAAAATGAAGAGGAGAAAAACCACCTAATTCTAGAATCCTTCCTACTAAATAAATGGGTTCCAGAGAAGTAAGACTGGACCTATATTTTTCCATCATGCTTGCCATTTACTGAGCAGCTGCAAGAGGTGAGATTGAAAAGAGAGATAGTCTGGCCAGCCCCACCAGCTTTTTCATCATAATAATTTAGGCTGGATGCCAGTCCTGGCATTTTGTACTAGGTCAGAGTTTGCCTATATACAACAAAGAACTAAAGCTCCTACAGGATCATTTACAACTACACACTATGAAACATTGCTCATTATTACACAAGGGATCAGCTGTCGCCATACCTTGGAGCATTTGTGATCTTTAACATAAGGCAGCAACACATCGAGGTTTAATTTAACCCCCAGACCAAGATAAACTCTGCTTCCCAGACCCTCAGAACCTGGAGAATAACATCACTATGAGGCATACTAAAGCCCATAGCTGCAAATCACCACACGACTCATTGCAGGGAGCACCCAGCCAGTGTCAGGTTAAAGTTATCCAATCAGGCAGAAATCAGGAAGGGGTACTACATAAAGCCAGCAAAGTGGAGGGAAGGAGACAAAAGGGGTATAGTAAGGGAGTTAGAAAGGCACTTCCATGAAGAAAAGTCTAAAGCTGATTTCCACCAGAGCAAGTTTACTCACTGAACAGTCCTCTTGCTCTTTTCTTGCTAGAATATCCATAGCCTCTTACAGTGTCCCCTTGCATTATGGAAAGTTTCAGGAAAGTTTCAAAAGCTGCCTGAAAAACAGTTCTCATTCTAAAGCGGGTGTCCAGGAGCAGTGTTGCCTTCCGCCCTATCCTCTCCTTAAATCTCATCTCTGGCCCACTCCTGAGAAATCAAGTGGGCAAATGAGCTGCACTCTTTCCCAGGGCCCTTCTGGCCCTATCTATGTCTTAGGAGCTTCTCTCCTGAAAAAAAAAAATCAATCCACAGCTGGCCTGGGAGGAAGAGATAATGTGAGAGCTCACAGTGGGTCAGTGATTCAGTAAAAAGCCAGAGAGCTGTTGGCTGGGAAATGTCGGAGACATCTGGGCAGGAGCTGGAAAGCAAGCACACTGGGCTGTCTTCTCCTGACACCAGATAGAGCCTGGCCCTGGGGAGTTGCCCGGCCATGTGTCCTATGTACCAAGAAGCCAAGATACTAAGACTTGGGATTTCTGTAAAATGCAGTCATGAAAGAGGGAGGCAGCTGAGACTGGATGTGAAGAAGGAGCACATTATTGCAATGCTGTGGTGACTTGAGAAAAATCAGAGACATTGTAAAAGCCTTTTGGAACACCCTGGCAATCACAGACAAAGCACATCAAGCTCATGAAGAGACGGAAAACATGACATAAATACCTTCCATCTAAGACAATACCTATCCTGGCAAACTCCATCCTCGCCCCTTTAAGCTCTGCATTTCAATTCTCTAACTTCCAAGATCAAAAACAAGTCAAGATAGCACAAACTGACTGTCTTCACTGTAGTGATCCGCATCCTGTGGGAGATCAATGCATGTCAAAAGAATTGAATGTATCACTGCAAATAGTAATTCAGAAACTGGAGAGAGAAGGTTTTATATATAAAAAAGAGAAACCACAATTTCAGTCACAAGCACCTTTTCCAAGTGCCTCTGCTGGTAATATAAGCAGGAGCTCCAAGTAGCAATTAAATGTGTTATCTACGAGCTTCCAAGTCAAGACGTCTCTTCAATAAGGTATGAGAGCCTACTTGAAATAATTTGAGATCCATCTCTGACACTAGTAAGCTTTGCATTTTAAAATTATTCTTCCCATAGTCCGCAGATATTCTTTAACCAACCCAAAAGTCAAGAACATTACATTGCACATTTGTGGGAAGAATCAAGATGGCTGAATAAGAAAAAAATACACTCCCCAGAAGCTAGCAAAGGCAGCCATTAGACTCAATCGGAATTGTAGTAAAAAGGTGTCTAAGTGGAGAAATTCAGTCCTAAAGGCCTTACTATAGAGGATAAAGAAGAAAATGTAGAGTCAGACCCAGGCTTGAATTTCGGCAGTGTTAACAGCAAGGGGCAGTAACTCCTGATCCCAGCCCAAAGCCCTTCAGTTCTTAGGCTCAAGTGTAGCAGGTTGAAGCCAAGTTGCCTCGAAGTAAAAACATAAGCTTTGGACCTTGCTTCAAACTCCAGCTCCATCTGTGAATAAGTTGCTTCCCTCTCTGAATCCGTTCCCTTCTTTTACTATCAGGGTCAATGGCCCTATTTCAGGAGCTAGGATGATGAATGGATGAGGGAAATATGTGTAAATCCCTTAGCACAATGTCTAGCACATCAGTTCTCTCCCACACTTCGGGGCCATACATAGAGAATGTAGATAAAGTTGTTGATATTTAGTGGAAAGAGTACTGGGTTAACAATTAGTGACCTTGCTCTCAACTAGCTCTGGAATCTTGAAGAAGTCACCTTACTTCCCATCACACGCAAAATAAACTAAAGAATCTCAGAGATTATCCTCTGGCAATAAGGGAATTCAGATTCAAAGATACAAATAGATGAAGATGCTAGAAGGCATTGTATCTAGGGTTATACAGAGATATCAGCCTTGGGATCTACCAGAATTGCTGGACAAGATTAGCATTTCTGACCAATTCAGGATCTGAAGAATCTAGATCAAACAGGACTACCTTGTATTGTATCCAAAGGCAACTGGGGAGCAAGGAAAGGAGAACAGGAGAATAGAGAGAATCCTCCTTCTCTGAGATTATGGCTGCAAATTTCAGGTAGAAGCTCTCTTCCAACCAAGATAGACTTGAAAGCACTGAGTCACTTTGACTCTAACTAGCTAAGCAATCAGACTTTGTAATGAAGCACCTAGGTGTTCCCCACATGTGGTAGATAGGCAGGGCAGGAGCATCAGAGAAGGAAGGTGAAAAGCAGCAGCCAGCTTTGAGATGTGGCTTCCAACTCACCTGCAACACACACACACACACACACACACACACACACACACACACACACACACTTATGCCTGCCCCTTATGCCTGGGCAGGGATCCATGACCCTGATTCACATGTTATATGTTCCTCCTCCCCATCAGCCAACCTAAACCCTGTCTAAAGTAGCAGTGTCTCGTTTAGGACCAATGAGAGGGCTTGAGCAACTCAGGCAGGCATGGGCACATGGGCCCAGCTGGGCTGAAGATGTCACACTTTGTTCTTCAAAGTGACTGATTGGACCTCAAGAATAAATGTCCCACAAAGAAAATACATTTAACATCATGGCACAAAAATTAAGAGAGAAGTGACTTTCCCCTACACTTTGCACCTCTCCACACATAAATGCATGCAAACACCTACCCATTGACCAACAGAAATATCACACTGGGACTATTTCCAAAGAGTCTCTGAAAAGTCATTAAGTATTTTGTAAAATACTTCACAAAGAGACAAGTCTTGCCAGCCATCCTTGATGATCTGTCTCCCTAAAATAACTCCAATCCCAGCAGCCTCCCAGGTGCTGGTAGGTAGACAGTGCCACAGTCAGCTCAATCTCTGCGGAGGCCCAGCCTATTTGATGCTGCACATATATGCACTGCCTTCACTTTCATCATCCTTCACACCTACTCTACCCATCCATGTCTCTGCCTGGCCAGTCCCTACTCATTCTTGAATGTCAGTATAAATGTCTCTTCCTGCACAAAGCCCTTGGTGAGTCCCCAGGTTGGTTTCAGTACCCTTTCTATGTGTGTCTTCACCTACACGGGCATTAGTTGACACCATTGTAGTTGTGCATTGACTTGTCTATCTTCACTAAACTGTAGGTTCCTTGAGGACAGAGAATATGTCTCCAGCACTTAACACAGTGTTGGCATATAGAAGTGCTCAATAAATATTTGTTTAATGAATGAGTGAATCCAAACCAGATTAATGGTTGGGATAAAAAACTACTCAGGTCTACTGAGGAACAAACCAATAAACCTGGTGAAAGGGAAGTGGAAGTACCCAGGCACAAAAACCAGGTACTCTCCCTAGAGTTCACAATGAGCCAGCTAGGTGACTGTAAGACCCAGAGATCGGTTCTGCTGAATATGCAATATCAGAGGGCAGAGTAAAGAGTAACAAAGCCAAACCAGTTGTTCCTTGTAAGAAAAGAGAGAAGAAAACCGACACTTAAAGAATACCTATCAGTACCCCTTTTAAGCCAGAAAAGAACTTACAAGTTATTATCACCTTCTCACAGACAAGAAAAATCATGCTCAGAGAGGTAAATAACATGTCAAGTAAATAGCAAAGTTGGTATTGGAACTTGGACCTGCTGATGCCAGAGTTCACACTTTATTTTACTCTATCTTATTGTTTCTGAATTTTCCACAGATTTGGATGTCCATTTCTACATTCTGGGAAATCAGATGGTAGGTAGAAAGCTGGGTACCCTGGAAGCTGTGGCATTTGACATGCAGTAGTGGCACTGAATCAATGAGCAGATGAACAGGCATTCACTATGGTCTGCAAAGGGCTCGCATTGCCAAAGATCTTCTTGTCTTTGAAAACAACTTCAAAGAAAAAGAATAAAGTTCAGAGAAGGGAATGCAAAGGATAATGAGAAGAGAGGGGAGAGTCAAGAAAGCCTCCTCCAGATGGATGACATACGAAAAACATTATATGAAAACATCACAGTGAACACCCAATCTCTCACTGAAAATGGGCAGCAAGACCATCCTTAACTGTCATTATGAGCAGAGACATGTGATATAGTTTGAATATATGTCCCCACCAAATTTCATGTTGAAATGTAATCCCCAGTGTTGGAGGTGGGACCTAGTGGGAGGTGATGGGATTTCTCATGAATGGTTCAGCACCATCCCCTTGGTGCTGTCCTTGTGATAGTGCATTCCTTCTCATGAAATCTGGCCGTTTAAAAGAGTGTGGTGCCTCCCCCACATAGTCCCAGGTCTCTCTCTTGCTCCCACTCACACCATGTGACATGCTTGCTTTTTCTTTGCCTTCTGCCATAATTGGAAGCTTCCTGAGACCTCACCAGAAGCAGATGCTGGTGCTATGCTTTCTATACAGCCTGCAGAACTGTGAGCCAATTAAAGCCCTTTTCTTTATGAATTACCCAGTCCCAGGTATTTCTTTATAGCAATGTAACAACAGCCTAACCCAACATGAATCAGCTACGGGGCCTCAGCCAACTATTAGCACATAGACTCCTGCCTCCAAAGGCGAAGGTACTGAGAGTTAAGAGAAAAGCTTAGAGGAAATGAAAATGCATCCAATTCCCCGTCAAATGAAAATGCTATGGGCCAAAGGCCAAAGAATATTCTTGGCCTGGATGGTGCTCTCCACGCTAAATTTAGCTGATTGCTGAGCTTTTTTTAAGAGGCATCTTATTCAACCTTTTGCAAGCCACAGATTTACCTCCTAATGCACAACTTGCTTCCCCCTGAAGCTGGAACACATTGTCCTTGGCTTTGTCATCTGTGGGAGAAGCAATGCCAACAAAAACTCTGCTGTTATCACCTGGCTCTGCTTGTCCAAGCAGTGCCTGGATGAGGTTCTTTAATGGCACTGACAAAAGGCTCTCTATCCTCAGTAATCCAGCCCACCTCCCCTGACCCCACCATCCCCATAACTATAACCTCATCTTAATTCTTATTAACAGAAATCCATTCTTCTGTGTTTATCACTCTAGCTGCAGAAATCAGCTTTTAAAATGAGAAAACTTTAGGGAGAGTTTGCATGCCCATTAACATAACCAAAATCTGTGCAGATTCTAACACTGCTTGCTTCATTTGCTCCTGATAACACAGTGCAGACTGAGAGGCAGCATGCAAGGTTGAAAAAGCATGAGACTTTAGACTAAGACCTAGATTGAGAGCCTCATTCTTTTTATCCAGACAATCTTCAGCTTGCCTCATATGAAAAGTGAGGATTATGATATCTAGTTTTGCCCAATAAAGGTAAATTAATAATATTTTAGGTGGTTATTAATCTTAGGAATTTTAGGACCAAAAGAACCAAGAGGTTACATGCACAGAGAACGGGGCTGGAGACAGTTTGGGAGAATTGGTGAGTAAGGTGGCGTCAAGACACAAGTGAAGCTAATATCAGACTTATGAGAGTCAGAGTCAGGAAGCACAGAAGCCAACAAAGAAAGTGAGGACAGGGGGAGAAGATGCAGGCCCATCCAACTCACCTAGAGCAGTGGCATATGTATAGTTAGTCATGTTTCGGGTCATCATGTGGTCACCTCTGAGTCCCTAGTAACTAATGTTCATTTGGCAATTGTTAAGTATTTATTAAGTGCAATTGTCTGCCAAGTGATGATCAAGAGAATAGGTTTAGAGCACTTAGGGTTATAGTAAGTTCCTTCCAGACTTTGGGATAAGACAGGAAAATAGCCTAATGCAAAAACTAATAAAACTCAACACACAATGGGTGGTAGTCGTCATTTACAGAAGCAACCCACTCTAGTAAACAGTTAGTAAATAAGTTATCCCAGACAGGGAGAACAGAGCAAACAGGAAGAAGAGAGATCACACACACACACACACACACACACACACACACACACACACATTTACAAATCAAAAGGGCCCATTCCATTGAGTGTTCAGCACAATGAAAGAAAAGTAATCTAAACTTTGGTACATTTTCATGACATTTCAGAGTACTAGGGCTGAAGAGCATACTCTAACCATCCTTAAAGCTTCCGAAGGGAAAAATGGAGCAGTGTCTTCAAGTGAGGAAAACTAATTTCCAACCAAGAATTCTATACCTATGCAACCTAAGATCAAAATGTAGGACAGAGTAAAGGCATTTTCAGAGAATGATGACATGAGATTAGGGAGTGGGGAGTAGTTGCTGGTTAAATGTTTGGATTTTCTTCTCAGGAAAGGGAAGCTACTAGAGGATTCTGACCAGAGAAATGATGTGATCTGACTCATAGTTGATCTTATAGTCTATTTATCTGATAGTAGTATAGTCACTCCATAGCTCTTATGGTTAATATTTGCATGGTATATCTTTTTCCATTCTTTTACTTTCAACCTGTTTATATCTTTGAATCTAAAGTAACTCCTGGGTCATGTTTTGTTTTTATCAAATCTGATAATCTCTTTCTTTTGATTAGATTGTTTAATATATTTACATTTAATATTATTGATATGTTTGGAGTGCCAATTACCACTTTGGCTTGTGCTTTCTACATGTCTCATGGCTACATTGTTTATATGTTTCTATTGTTTATACGTTTCTCTTCTACCATCTCCTTTGTCTCAAGTGATTATTTCCTAGTATACAATTTAAATTCCTTTAATGATTCTTAGCTATATATTTTCAGTTATTTTCTTAGTGGTGCCCTAGGGCATTATAATACACATCTTATCAGTATCTACTTCAAATTAAAACTAACTTAATTCCAGTAAGATATTAAAACTTTTCCTATATTGCTTCATTCCCTCTCCCTTTTTTGTGCTATTATTCTTAATATATTAAGGCCTACAGATGTTACAAACCTAACAATACATTGTAATTACTGCTTTTTACACAGTACGTCTTTTATGAAATCTAAGAGAAGAAATGAGAACACAAACATATTTATTGTTTTTTAAAAATATATGTGAAACTTCTTATTTGCCAATTGTGGTTATCTTCACTTCTTGTGGATTTTAATTATCATCTGATGTCATTTCCTAATGCCAATTAGTTTCCTTCTCACTCCTTCCTTTGTGGTGTTATCAAATATATTGTTTCTGTATGTTATAGTTCCAACAATACAATTTTAGATACTGTTTTAAGTCAGAAGAAGAGCTAATTTGCAATAACGCTGTCTTTTATCATCACCTACAGAATTACTTTTATCAGAGCTCTTTGTTTTTTCATGGAGATTCAAATGACAGGTGTCACTTCCTTTCATCCTGAAGAACTTCCTTTAGTATTTCTTATAAGGCAGCTCTGACAGCAATAAATTTTCTCAATTTCTGTTTATCCAAGACTTGATTTCATCTTCATTTTTAAAAAATAGTTTTGCTGGACACAGGATTCTTGATAGTTTTTCATGTTATTTTCTTTCAGCACTTTGAAAACATTGTCACACTGCCTTTTGGCTTTCATTGTTTCTGATGTGATGTTCACTGTTAAGCTTATTATGGTTTTCTTGTACATGAGATTTTCATGCTGCTTTCAAAATTTTTCTGTCTGGATTTTTCATTTTCAACTTTTTGACTATGATGTTTCTGGGTGTGGATTTCTTTGCCTTTGTCCTGCTTGGAGTTCATTCAGTTTCTTGGTTGTGTATATTAGTGTTAATCAAATTTGGAAAGTTTTCAACCATGATTTCTTTGAATATTTTTCTACTCCTTTCTCTCCTCTCCTGGTATTACATGTATATTGCTGCACTAAATGGTATTTTGTATTTCTCTGAAACTGTTTTTCTTTATTATTTTTACTTTGTTTCTCAGATTGCATAATCTGAGTTCTCTGGTGGTTCCTTCATCCACTCAAATATTGTGTTGAGTCCCTTTAGTAAACATTTATTTATTTTTGTTATTTATTGAAATATTTTATTTCAATTGTGGTACATTTCAACTCCAGAATTTATATTTGGTTCTTGAAAATTTGTTTTTTATAGCCTTTATTTGATAAGTCATTGTTATCATACCTTCCTCTAAATCTTTAAACATAGTTTCTTTTACTTCTTTGATCATTTTTATAGTGGTTGCCTTGAAGTCTTTGTTGACTAAGTTCATCACCTGGCCCCCTCAAAGGCAGTTTCTATTATTAACTTTTTTTTTCCTGTGTATGTATCACACTTTCATGTTGTTCTTGGGGGTTTTTTGCATATCTCTAATTTTTTGTTGAAGATTGTACTTTTAGATAATATACTGTAGTAACTAGATACTGATCCCCACCCCTACCTTGGGGTATGCTATTGTTTGGTCATTTTTTCTTTTTTTTTTGACTTGGCCAGACTAATTCTTGAAGCTCATTCCCCACAACACACATAGTTTGCAGCCTCTGAGCTTCCTGTTCAGATTATTTTCCTTGCTTTTAACTTTCTCCCCTGTTTTTAGGGGTCACCCTTGGATCCGTATAAACTACTTTTTAGTCAGAAGTTGAACTTAAGCCCCGCTAGTAAGTGAGATATGTGCTCTTTACTATTAAAAGCATATGTGGCTGCGAGATTGTTTTCACAGTTCAGGAAGTTTCCAGTTTTGTCCCATGTTCAACCAGGGGCTAGCAGCTCAAAGGTTCCTTCACCATTTCCTCCTGAACAGTCACAGCTTTGGGTATGCATACAGTCTTTCAGACCACCAGGGAAGACTATAATTTTATTTTGAAGTGTAGATTCCTAGGAGTCACCCCTGGTTCAGAGTAGCCTATTCCATAATCACTGCTGGTCATGGGTTATGTCTAAATCCCTTAACCCAGTCAGGCTCCACATTTTGCTGAAGGATCTGCGTATGGCTTGGGTAATGCTTTCGAGTCTACTCCACATTCCACTTTGATTGCTCCTGAGTGGGTACCAGGCACATGTGCACAGTATTTTGGACCTCCGGGGATGTGACCTAGGAGGAGGGTTCTCCTTGGTTATCTCCTTCTCTGCTAGTAGTATCACAGAACTACCAACCGTTCTTAATTACTCGCTACCAAGATACTGTCTTCCACAAAACTGTTATGGGTGAACTTCTCCATACTTTGCTCCGAATAAAGTGAGTCCCCTCAAGCAGAGTTGTGGGTTAGCTGTCCTTAAATCCTGCCTCTTTTCCTAGGCAGAACATCTGTACCACTTTAGTGGAGCTGGGGAGAGGACGGTAGCTCACTTCTCCTGGAGTGACACCATTGCTCTAGGAGTGGTGCATAGGGGAGGAGGGGTGGAGGGTAGTAGTCCCTCATTTTATAGGCTTTCCCCTGCTGGGATGAAGCCTTCCTCCCACAAGCAGGCTGGGGTGAGAGCACTTGGGCCCCCAGTATTCTTGGCCTGCAATGCCTAGAACATAGCTCCTGCCCTATACGTGGCAGCTGGGTGAGAGATGGTAGCACCAATCCTCTCAGCAGCACCTGTCTAAAGTAGTGCTTATATGACATGGACTGGGAGGGTGGAGAGCATGTAAGAGACACTGGCAGCCTGTCCCCAAGAATGCACCAATAGCCCTAAACTGGGAGCTGCAGGAAGAAAGCGCACATCTTCTTGGCTGCATCTGCCCAAAGGAAAGCACCCATAGTGGAGTTTCTGTCACGTGGGGCTGGGGAAGGGGAGGATGGGCATAAGTTCTAGTTCAAACATCACAGACTCACTGTTCCTGTTGAGATTTGGTAGATTTTCTTGAACATTTCTTTATTCATTGTATGCTCTAAGAACAATTTCCAGAGACTTCAAATGGCTTTTTCATATATGTAATTTTTATCAGTTACATGCTGCTTTGGTTGGAGAAAGGGTCCAGTAAGCTCCTCCATACCACCACCCTGGTAGTCCCAATCCTGACTCATGTGTTAAAACAATAATTTTCTCTGTTTTCTGAAGAAAAGGTAGAGTGGAAGCAGTAAAGCTATGTATTAAAATACCCATCACTATTATTTGTCTATACAATGTCTTTAATGCAGTCTGAAGCACAGTCGTGCTCACAAATGTCAGCTTCCTTTTCCATGCAATGGGGTCCTTCAAGAGAAGGACTGTCCCCCAGTGAGGGGAACCTAGGTGTTCTGAGATAGCCCCCAAAAATTTCTTTTTTGTTTCAAAGTCAACTGCCATTTTCAACCAAGGTTTTCCAACCCCAAAAGAGCCAGCTGCCAACTCTCCTCAAACTACCCTACTCCTCCTGTTAAAAGGCCTTTGAACTTCCAGATCAGGCCCCCACCCAGATTCCCACCTTCCTTCCCATCTCACAATTTTCCCTCTTTGCTTCAGATTTCTCAGTCTCAATGCTCATCCTGTTTGCAGAAGCACCTGCCAGTTCCAACTTAGGTTTTCCCACCTTGACACCTGCAACCTTCTCCTGTGATTACTGCTGACTCCTATAAGCCTCATCTCACTTGCCCCACCCACTGGTTCCCACCTCCTAGTGGTCCATTCAATCAGCTACCTCTGGGCCTCTCACTGGATTTATTCTTGTCTTTCTGTTTCCACTTATCTCTGGCTATATTTTCTCAAGACACCTGAGCTAGCTCTTGACCCTGGTGTTCACTGGTGCTTGCTGCTGACCCACACACCTGAATTGTATTCATTATTTATGCCTTCCTCCAAGTTCCCTGACAGATTCTGCCTCAGTAACTTCTTAATAAGCCTTGAGTATCAAGCCTCTGCCTTCTCCCACAACCCAACCAACTCTAGGTGTCTCACTTGGTTTCAGCTACTAGTTCCTGGTGCTCAGGAGCCTCAGATCTACTACTGTCCTGTTGTCCTGTGCTTTTAATCTCGTCCTCTTGTCCTACTTATTTTACATCCATGCTCTTTGTCCCAGTTGCTTGCCCTGCTGTCTATATTCCAAAGCCAAAAATGTGCCTCCATATCTGTTTGCACTAGTGTTGTATAACTAACACTTTGCCACTCTACCTAGCATTAAGTACAGCATACAGAATAACCCAAAACAAAGAGATCCTTAGATCATATTGCTTCAAAATAAAAGTATCTGGAAAAGTATAGAATCAGACTGTAAGGAAAACTCTTATCTACAACAGTGCAAGCTCCATGAGAACAAGGATTTTATTTATCGCTGTATACCCAGCACCTAAATCACAGTGAGTTCTCACTAAATATAGAATGAATGAATAAAAACTAAGTTCAATAGAATTCAGCTATAATGATTGGAAACACAACATTTTTGCATTTGCATTCCAATTAGCCAAAACTGTTGGATATACTGGTTATGTTCATGTGTTGTCATCTGTTATTTCTAAGACATTTCTGTGATCTTAGCACCTGGGGATAATGCATTCATTTATTCATTCTCTAGTGTCTACCCCCACCCCAATCTTAAAGTTTTTTGTTTTGTTTTTTGCTTTGAATTCTCCTCAAATTGTTTGACATCTTGAAATTTTGTTAACCATGATAGAGGTAGTCCAACCCTGATCTTCAGTTCCCTACTTAGAACACCATGAATTTGTTGAACTCAAAGGCAAGATAGGAGGGGTTTGGATGGAGGCCAATTTCCTGTGAAGATGCTGTTACAGATAAGAGGGTGGTTTAGGTGTTGGTCAGGTCTGAGTTTTCTTTTTCTTTCTTTTTTTTTTTTTTTTTTTTTGAGACAGTCTTTTTCTGTTGCCCAGGCTGGAGTGTAGTGGCGTGATCTCAGCTCACTACAACCTCTGCCTCGTGGGTTCAAGCTCTTCTCCTGCCTCAGCCTCCCAAATAGCTGGGGTTATAGGCACACACCACCACGCCTGGCTTTTTTTTTGAGATGGAGTCTCACTCTGTCCCCAGGCTGGAGTGCAGTGTCATGATCTCAGCTCATTGCAACCTCCACCCCTCACAGTTCAAGTGATTCTCCTACCTCAGCCTCCTGAGTAGCTGGAATTACAGGTGCCTGCCATCAGGCCCAGCTAATTTTTGTATTTTTAGTAGAGATGGGATTCCACCATGTTGGCCAGGCTGGTCTTGAACTCCTGACCTTGTGATTCACCCGCCTCGGCCTCCCAAAGTGCTGGGATTACAGGTATGAGCTACCACGCCCTGCCAGGTCTGAGTTTTCAAGTAAAGTATTTGTCTTGCTCTATTATCAGCTCCAATAGGAACAGATGCTACCTACTATTATGTATTCTTCCCTCTACAGCCATGAACACCTGTGTCATGTTCTCTATGCTCCTCCTGATGTGAGCAGGAATCTGCTTGATATTTCTCGAAATTTGTGATGCTTTTGATCAATTTTCATTCAAACGCTGAGCTTAAAGAAATGTAGCAAGCCTGAAAAAATGGCAGAGATGATCCACTCTCTGTGTAAACACCATTAAAGAGGAAGGCAATATATTGTAGCCAGTTTCACTTATTTTTAATTTCTGACCACTAGTGAAAATAACTTCTATTTTCTCCACCAAAAGATTAACAAAAATTGATTTATTTTAGCCTGGTCTGGTGGGAGACCAAAGTGCATCTCTTTAATAGGTCATATTATCATAATTTAAATTAATGTTCTCTTATGGGTTTAAATATGACTATTTTTATCCCTGATGATCTTTGCAGTAACTTTTAAAAGGCTGAAATCTAGGATTTAGGAATCCCTAAGGAAAAAGGGTGCTAAGTTGAATTAATTTTAAGTCACGTTTTTGGGTGTATGACATTTTTCAATTTTATTTCAACCAAGAAAGACACCAAAGTTAGAGGTACTACCACCACTCATCAGATACTCTTGGTCCTGGGGTCTCTTCAGGTCTTTCGAGAAACTTTTCTTTATAAAATAATCTAAACAATAACAAGCAATTTCCACCGAGAGTACTTTTCATCACTGTATCACATTAAAATAGCTAACACTTCGCAATAATATAAGTAACTCCATGCACAAACACATGGTGGGGGTGGGGAGGGGGGAGCTGGTAACATTTCTCCCACCTATCACCTCTCCTTACCCTCTCCTTACCTGGCTCAGTCTCTTACTTGCATCCATACTGTATAGCTATGACCAGGTGAAATTCTGGGTTTAAGTCTGCCTTACCCTGCCATCTGTGAATTGAAGGGTACCAAATAGTGGCCTCCTACTTGGTTTTCAAATGCATATATCGAAATAGTTGCAATCCCGGAGGTCACCTAATATAATCTTCTTCCTAAGTTTCAAATCCATGGTCTAATTCCCCCACATTAAGGGGTCTTATGCACAAAACTCCCCCAATCAAAGATAATTAATTCCTTAGTAGCATTAATTAATTTAACAATCACTTAAACAATAATAAATCAGAACAGCTTCCTCAAGGCCATAGTTTAAAAGCTTAAGAGTAGATCCCTTAGAATTCATGTAATCACTAAGATGACCTGAATGAGGAACAGCTGAGTCTTCACTGAAATCCAACAGTATTAACCACCAGGATTAGAAAAAAAGAGTCCTGGCTTAGACCTAGCCCCCAGGTAGGATGCAGAAATAAAGTAGAAATCCTCAGCAAGCAGTACAGGAGGCTTATATCATGGATGGGAAAGTACTGGGGCTGGTGCATAAATACATGTTTAGGCAGATTGCTCCTGAGTGGCAGGAAACAAGATGGTGTCTAAGTTGGGAGAACAAGGATAGGAAGAAAAGGAACCAGGCCAGATGGCAGAAATCTATGCCAGCCAGTCTGCAGCTCGAGGATAGATGTCTGAGATGAAACGGATTTCATGCTGAATCACATTCTCAACTAATTTATTGAGATGCTTAAGGAACCTGCCCTTTGAAAACTCTTCTACTCAGTTTGTATTTCCTTTCATTTCACTTTATGTTTTTAAGATCCAGTCTCCTGAAATCACTCAATATCCCATCCTGACATTCAATTTCCTAAATCTAACATCTGAAATAAGAAACAGGTGGGCTTAGATGGAGTGTTCCATTACACCCACCCCTCGGTATTTCATGTACTTCAAAAGACAGCTAAGTAAACTTTGTGCAGCCTTTGGTTTCATAAATAGGGACTACAAATGACGCAAGCTGAATGAGCTCACTCTAGAGGTCAGTCAAATGCTCCTTCTGTGTCTTTATGGAAATGAGACTCAGGAATTAGAAAAATGGGAAAGAAAGGATTCCTGACAGAGAAAATTTCCCTTAAATATCAGTATTGAGTCAGGCAGTAGTTCCCAACATGTTACAACCATTTGTCCAAGAAAAACTTTCTGCATAACCCTCAATTATAAAAGAGATAAAGGTTTGGATGCTCCAGTTGAAGCAACCCTGAGGAACTCTTAACTTCAGAGTCTGTCTCCCTTCATCACCTTCTCCCCATGGTTTATTCTGTAGTAGCTGCTTCTGAGGTATATCTGCAGAACCCGAGGACTATAAAAAATATGACTTGAAAAATACTGGCTAGTTAAATGTACAGGCTTTAGAATCAAGAAATCCTAGTTCCATATCCCAACTGTCTCATTTATCACCTGCATGAATTTGTGCAAATTAACCTAAGCTCCTATTCCTCATCTATGAAATGCAGGTAGTAATAGCACCTCGAGGGCTGTTTTGGAGGTTATATAACATAATGCATGTGAAATATTTAGCATTGCCTGGTCTATAATAAGAATTCAATAAATGTCAGACATTATTATTAAGATGACACATTCTAAAGAACTTTAAGAATTCTAATGCAGAACTTTTTTAAAGTAGAGGTGACAGTGTAAACTGTTGCCCTTGAAATCTTCTAGAATATTTCCCTGGTTGTGTTCAGCAGAAAATTATCCCCATGAAATATTTCACGAATATAAAGCCTGTGGTCAAATCTATTAGCAAGATGTTAAATCTAGTAAAGCCTCCTAGAAATTCACAATGCATAATAAAGGCCCAATGTCTGGGGCAGAGGCCCATTAGTCACATGATAAATTTCATCTTAGATCCCTCTTGCTGGAGAGGGGAGAATGGAATAGAGCAGACAGGACTAATGGCAGGGACACTAGTTACAAAGCCATTGCAGTAATCCAGGGGAGAGATAATGGTGGCCTGAACCAGGGTGGAGTAAAGAAAACTGATCAAATTCAAAAGGCAGGGGGGGAGAGGGCAAGGTATATGACAGAGTCCACAATGAAACCCAGGCATCTGGCCTGGAAAATGCGATCAGTGATGGTGTCATCAATGCAAATGAAATAAAAGAGCAGGGCCAGACTGGGGACAGATGAGTTTCATTTTGCACTAATGAGTTTGAGATGCATATATTACACATATTTTTCATTGCAAGTTACAGAAACCTCATTCAAATTTAAAAGGGGATATATTAACTATAGCTGGGAAAGAGAGGGGTGATTTGATCTTGGGAATAACTGGCACTGGGGACATGAGCTTCTCTCAGGGCCACTCTTCTCTGCCTATTCGCTTGTATCTGCCTGTGCGTTGGTTTCATTCTCTCCTACTGGGGATGGGCTATAGCAGCTCTGATTTAAAGCTGAACAATCAGAGAAAAAATAACTCTTTTCCACCAACCTGTTAGTAGAATATCATGGGTAAGGTCTTAGATTGCCTGGCATGGGTTAACATTCCCTACCCTGCATGGCCAAGGGCTGTGATTGGCATGGGAAAGAAGCAGTTTTCTCAAAGAACTGGTTCTATATCCAGTAGAAGGAGAAATGAATTTAGGGAAAGAGGAGGGCATTCACTATAGGATACATATACATCACCCAAATGACACTATATAATAAGCAGTTGAATCATAAGTTAATATTTAAAGTTAACTTTTTGAAGGCTGTTTATCAAAATACTATTATCAAACACTCTGATGTATGGTTCTATATTCTTTTATTATAAAAATTTTGATATTAGGAGAGTTCCTTGACATTTACAAAGCCCTTTCTCTCTCCCTCCCTGTAACCATCAAAACAATGCATGAAAGAGGTATTACCAACCCCATTTTACAGGTGAGATGGAGATAAGACACAGAGAGGTTAAGTGACTTGTGGAGCCAGTATTTTGAAGTCTGAATCTTTGGATATTAAATTTCATGTGTAGTGTGGCTACAAATTTAATGCACATCATAACTCTGAGGTACAGGTCTAGTCTTGCTAGTACCTCCTCATTTTTCAGGGTGCTGAGTGTGGAATGAATGAGGAGAGAAGTACAGGTCCTATTTGGTTAAAACTTAGCCCACACAGATAATTTAAATAGTTATTTTAGGTAGTCTCTGTGGGGAAAATTAAAGTGTTCACTAGCTCTTCCTCCCCTCTAAAATGTCACTTTATTGCATGGAATAAAGTATGTGGTTCATAGTACTGTTTGATTAAGGGGAGGATAGTGTCCTCTGGCTCTACTGGACCCCCAGCCAATGTCACTTGTCCACCCTATGGCTGGTGTCATCTTCTTTCTGCTTGGCAAGAGCCCTGTACCAACCTGGTTAATTAGAGAACCCCTCAGCCCTCCCTGAGGCTAGAGAACCCTTGAAATTCTGACTGCTCCTCCCATCTGCCTTGACCTGGAAAAATATGCTCTGCAACCTTTTCTCAAAACCACTATACCCTTTGATAAAGTCACTCCTATGGATAAATTCCCTAGCTGGACCCTCAGCTAAGTCTGAGACCTGTCTATACCACAAGGGACTTAAGAAAGACTTAGAAAAATGGAAAATTCAAAGCTTCTCAGCCTGACCATACAGCAACACCAAATTCTTTTTGGGTCTGGTGTCATCCTCAGCTGGTATAGGCCAGCTGAATGGATGAGTTCCAACTAAGGAACATGGGTGGAAGAGCCGCCTCTGGGTTGCCCTCACTCCTCTAAAACTCATCCCCTTCTTGGCTTAAGCTCAGAGAAGAGAAAAAGAGGGACATATAGCAATCATACCTCTTTCCTACTCTACCTCTCCCCCATCCTCCCATATGCCCTGCACTGGAAGGGGTGAGGTTTTCACTAGTGCTTTTCAAATTTCAGTGTGCATCACAATCACCCAAAGGACTTGTTAAAAAGAAAAAAATAGATTGCTGAGCCCTATCTCCAGGGTTTCTGCTTCAATAAGTCCGATGTGAAACCGGGGCATTTGCATGTCTAGCAAATTCCCAAGCGATACTGATACTACTGGTCTGGGGACGACACTGAGAAGCAGTGCCACAGGTCATTCTTCCCTTCCAACCTGTGGCTAAATCTCATTGCAAACAAAGGGATATTTTCTACACCTTGAAAAAACCTATGCTCTAAATCCTCTCGAATAAGTGTGCTCTCTTTCTCTTACATATTAGGAGAACTCTAAGCTATGAATCTTACAGGCTTAGCCCTTGATTTGTTAAATAGAACCTAGATTAATGTAGTAAATCTTTTCTGAAACAAAAATGCCTGGTTTTCAAGCCTACAGTTTTACTGCATTCTATTAAATATTTCATATATCAGAAGCTGAACATTACTCTGTACATTCTCTTTGCATTCCTTTATAACATTCCTAACATACCTACAGGTGGATGGATATCCTTAGCTGAGTGAGGAGAAAGTCAAACTCAGAAAGAAAAAAAAAATCACATTAAAGTATTTTCAAAAATCTACCCCTTAGATGTATTTTTTGCCATTGGAATTGTAGAAAAACCCTTTCTTTCCAAACAAATTTTCTTCCTTCAATTATAGCTACATACTCATGATGCCTCCTCTCTGGACACAGAAACTGAATGCTTAACTGTAGGTTCCTTTTTAGTGGTTTCCTTTAGCTGATATTTTCTAGACAACTGTTTCTCTTAACCAACTTTTTAGTCCTCTTTATTCCTGGATTCTTGTTCTTTTCCATGCTTATACAATTTTTAAGAAAAAAACAAACAATAGGAAGGTGCCTGTGTCTTTCATTACCTACCAACACAAGCACCACAAAAGTTTCTTTTGAAAAAGTCATCCTTTCTCAGCTGTCCTGGAGGGAAGAAAGGGGAAAGGTCTGTATCCAAGTTCATTTTCATGAGAAAGAAGCAGGGCCCTAACTCAGAATTAGGTGGGGTCCAGGATAGCTAAAGGAGAAGCCCTGTCCTCAAGTGGAAGGATGCGAAAACAGAAAGGGGTGTTTGGGGACTAATTGGGCAACTATCCTTCTCACTAAAGCTCACCAAGTAGAGGGAGCAGGGACAGTGATCCTAATTTGGATAGCTTGAGGGTTTCCTCCAAAAGTCCCTCTGTTCCCAAAGTGCTCCTCTCCCCAACACCGTGAATAATTTTTTTTTTCAGGTTGTCATTGATCTCCAGATGTGTCCTTATAAAAGCCTATGCTCCTAGTAGTTATGCCACATCCAGAATAAGAGCATTTGGACAGGACAAAGGAGTAAAGGTGAGCGTGGTTCATGAGTGCTACCCAGAATAGATGACCCCAGGTTTGGGGCCCCCTGGAAGCCAGAAAACAGCATGAGACTGTGGGAGAGCATGGAAGAGCTAGAGCTAAAACTCCAAAAAGAGCAGAGGCAGGTGTGGTATCCTAGACACTGGTGAGGCTCAGAGGCTGCTAAAATGGCAGCATCTCAGACTCCATTCACATCTGAGGGTCATAACCCTGGAGTTGTGCAGTGCACAACCTGGGCAGCCACATGCAACTGCCCCTGTCCTTTGAAGGCCAAAATAAATCACTAAAAGGAGGAGAAATAGAGTACTCCTGGGTCTCAATCTCTCTCATTCTGTACAAAATGAAGCCTCCCTGAGAAAATATTAAATCGCAAGAATTGCCAAGTTGGACAAAAATTGGCATGGTTTTCTTGAAGAGCCTTAATTTATGAGGTTAACTGTCAGAACTGCACACAGCCTTCAGGCTGAACAAGGACAAAAACATCCAGCCTTCAACTGCTGGTCTTGCTTATCTAAAGCTTTTAAAGAAAATCAAATAATAAGAGCCAAAGACCAGCAGGGGAAAAAAAAAAGTGTTTTTCCACTGAATCCTAGAAAGGGCCACAGTAGGAAAAGACCTCAAGTAGAGGTAACTGACCCACCCTAATATGTACCCTAGACAGCCTCCCTCCAGAGAGTTCTACAGCACCTCCCTCTTCTCCAGGAGGCCACTGAGCTCCCATCTGGAACCTGGGTGTCCTACTGCACTCCTCCAATTGGCTATGCTCTGTCCATGGAAGAACATCTGTGATCTTTTTTGTTCAAAAATAATGCAACAAAATTGTCTCATTAGCAGCTTATAGAAAGACAACTGTGTCAAAAGGTGAACTTTCCCAACTGTGCTGTAAACTAGCACTAATTAGCCAGGTGACCTTAGGCAAGTCACTTCTCTCTGGCCTCAGTCTGTTTACCTAAAGAATTGGGAATCAGACTTGGTGCTATCCAAGTGACAGTCCAGCTCTAACACTGCATTCTATGTAAGATTAGTCCAGCTCTAATACTGCATCCTATGTAAGATTCTCTATCATTCTTTCCACATCTTTCCCATGCCTATACAAAACTTACCATTGCTCTTATTTGATGAAGGCAAGAGTCTTTGCAAAGGCAAACATAGGAAGGAAATCAACCACTTCTGACATAGTCTCCTATAGAATTTCTTTATGAAGTTCACCCTCAATGTCTTTCGTTAAACTTCAGGCACAAAACTGCATGTATAAAGTTAAACCAATCTATTGTCCACCAATCTGTGAGCATCTTATGAGCGGAAGCAATTTGCTGTTCCCCTTTTCTGTGCACAGTGAGACCTCTCTGAGCCTCTCCCAAAAGACAGGCAATCAAAAGGCAGAAGTCTCGTCTCACCTCACCTCAGCCCACCAGGCATTGTGGTAAACCCTCCACCCATCCCCTTCAAGCAGGAGTTAGCAAGGCTCTGTCAAGGCTTCTTCACCAGCACTTCAACCTAGGGGCAGGGCCCACTGCAGCTTGCCAAGTGGAATATGGACCGAGCCAGAGCAGAAAGACATTGTGCTTTCAGGTTCTGAGAAGACATGATAAACAATGAGAAGCCCTTTTGAGCGTCTTGGGCCCTACCTTTTAAGTTTCCATTCAGCCTGGGATGAATTAGAGCTGCTCCAGGGAGATGTCTGCTCTTTCCATCTTCCTTCCTGGGCTCTTGTTTTCCTGGGAGTTGCTAAGGATGCTCATGAAATTCCCACCCCATCCCTGCTTTTTTTTGTGACAGCATCACTCTAATCCATTGAATAAGCTCTGCCATAAAGAATAATAGATAGCAAAAAATAGATAACTCGTATTGATCAATTCCTGTGTATCTCAGGTGTATGCCTGGTACCTTCTCAAGTTATCCTCACAATAACCCTATGAGGTCAGTACTGCCTTAACTCCACTTTACAGACGATAACACCAGAAGCCAGAGAAATTGATTTGCCCCCTTTCACACAGCTAATAAGCAGAATTGGGATTTGTCTTAGTCTATTTTTGCTGCTATAACAAAATACCTGAAGCTGGGTGATGCATAAAGAACAGAAATTTGTTTCTTACAGTTTTGGAGGCTGGAAAGTTCAAAATCAAGGCACCAGCAAGTTTGGTGTTTGGTGAGGGCTGCTGTCTGCTTGAATCACAGCGCTTTGTTGCTGCGTCCTCTGGAGGGAAGGAACTCTGCATCCTCACAGAAGGCAAAGGGTAAGTGAACTGAACAACCCATGAATGCTCTTTATAGGGGCCTTAATCTCATTCACCTGGAAGGAGCCCTCGTGTCTCTTAATTACCTCTTAAAGGCCCCACCTGTTAAAATCATCAAATTAGCCATTAAGTTTCAACATCTGAGTTTTGGAAGGAACACATGCAAACCATAGCAGGATTAGAACCCAGGAAGTCTGAGGACACGGCCTGCATGCTCTACTTCTCTGCTACACTGTGTAAGTCAGACCTTTCCTGTGTCCCAGCTTCGACAACTTTCCCCATAATTGCGGTCTCTTAATGTTTGCCTACAGGCTTCAAAGAATCTAGACCCAACCTTGATCTCAGGGGTAGGTAGTGAAGGAATTATTTGTATGGCTTTGTGTATATTTATATATATACGTAGGACCAAGATACATTTCCTTGTGGCTCCAGCCTTGATTACGTGCCCTAAATGCATAGCTAAGTTCCTTACTTATTCCCTGGGTCAGAGTCCCTGTTGTAAATTATTTATTACTTACATAGTCCTTAACTCATTCATTGCACAAATATTTTTGATTATGTATTACATGCCAATCATGAAAAAGAAAAAATACAACCCATTAACAAATACGTTATATCCATTTTACAGATAGGAAAACATAAATTTCCTGCCACCCCACATCTAGTAAACAGCAGATCTAGCATTTAATTCCAGGTCTTCCTGTTTAAGAAATTTGGACCCTGCCTTATTCTTGCCACTCTTCTCCTTGACCCTTATATTGTTTTCCAAGCAACCAATTATCTAATTTTCTGACAGCAAATGAGTGTCCAAGTCATTTCTGACACTGACCATCTGGAGTTGGTGCAAACTCCACAAGTCTCAATTCCACGAGATGTCAGCTGCAAAAGGAGTCCCCAGGATACCTGCCTCGGACCAGTCAATTACAAGTTTCAGGGTTCCCATGACCTGTCCTCAGGTCCAATAATTTGCTAAAACAACTCAGAGAACTCAGGAAAACTCTATACTTATTATTTCAGTTTTCCTATAAAAGCTACAACTCAGAAACGACCAAATGGAAGAGACACATAAGGAAAGGTATGAAGGGAACGTGCAGAGCTTCCATGCCCTCTGCAGCTGCACCACTCCCCCAGCATATCAGTGTGTTCATAAACCCAGAAGATCCCCCCAGCCTTGTTGTTCGAAAGTTTTTTTATAAAGGCTTCATTATGTTGATGTAATTGATTGAACCATTGGCCACTGATGATTAAACTCAATCTCCACCCCCACTTTCCTCCCTAGAGGTTGAGGAGTGAGGCTGAAAATTCCAATCCTCTAATTACAGTGTGTGGCCAGCCCCTCCCTTAAAATTATCTGAGGTACCACCGTGAGTCTTCTCATTAGCATAAACTCAGATATGGCAAAAAAGGGGCTCCTTAAGAATAACAAAAGACTGGCCGGGCACTGTGGCTCACATTTGTAATCCCAGCACTTTGGGAGGCCAAGGCAGGTGGATCACCTGAGGTCAGGAGTTCGAGACCAGCCTGGCCAACATGGTGAAACCCCGTCTCTACTAAAAATACAAAAATTAGCTAGGCATGATGGCACACACCTGTAATCCCAGCTACTCAGGAGGCTGAGGCAAGAGAATCACTTAAACCAGGGAGGCAGAGGTTGCACTGAGCTGAGATCATGCCACTGCACTCCAGCTTGGGCAACAGAACAAGACTCCATTTCAAAAAAAGTAATAATAATGACAAAAGACAGTCCAATCAGTTAGGAAATTCCAGTTTCTAAATCTCTATGCCAGGAACTGAAGGCAAAGACCAAATTTATATATCTTTAGTTGTACCATAACCCTTCAGGAACCACAGCTAAGGACTGAAACTCTGTTACCTGCCATCAGACTCCTCTGAAGAGAACTACCTGCCTAGTGTCTGTGAATGCTTCCTGGCCCCCATCAGTGTGTTCTGCACACTGTCAGGGCAGCCTGTCTGCTTACCTGAAAACTCTCCCTTCCACTAGGTTCTGTCTACTGGACTAGTCTTGCCCCAGAATCCACAGGCAGCTATGCCCCCCATCTCCCAACTAACCCAAGCCTGTCTTACCCCAGGGAACTTGTCTCCAACCAGGACTCCCCCACCCAGGGTCTGTGCCTATAGGAGTTAACTGTGTCATGTTTTGCCAGAGATGAATGTGATCCAGACATGCCCAAAGGGCATTTGACTTTGCCAATTATGAACATGGACCACAGGCTTTGGCACTGAAGAGGTTAGAGAAAGAATTGGGTCAGTATAAATCACAGCAAGGAAAAAATCTATAGAGTATTAGATTTGGAGAATATTACTATCTAGTATTATTAGAACAGCTATCTGGCTATGCTAGCTAGCGCTGCATCAGTGTTTCCATTATAAATCCTATTTTCAAGGGTTTATGACTTGCTATAAAAATTCATTTGAAGCTGAGAAGCAACATACTGAGTTTGCAGTGCAAGAAACAGTTTGATTCAAAAAAAGATAAAAAATTGGGAAGAAATAAACAAACAGAAAAGAGAAAAAGGAAACATGTTGTCTAAAAAAGAGGAAAGCTAGAGAGTTGCCCTGCTCTTGTGCCCTCATGTGAATTAAAGATGTTTTTGCTTTTAGATTTGAGTTTTCACAGGTTATTAACTCCTATGTGGGAAGAGGCCTATATGGACACTAAAGCCAAATGCATTTAGCACCATGATGTTTTCTAGTTGGGAAAGGCATGATAGTAGCATAGGTAAAACCTTGTTCCACAGGGGGTCCTGCAGGGAACAGTGCCCTCCCATCCCAGGCTTCACGAAAATCCTCGAAGGACACACGTTGAATCTTTGCTGTTTTAGTAAAAGCCAGATGTGATGGTTTCATTGATGCCAATTTGACTGGACTAAGGGATACCCAGAGAGCCAGTAAAACATTATTTCTAAGTGTGTCTATGAGGGTGTTTCTGGAAGATATTAGCATTTAAGTTGGTAGACTGGGTAAAGAAGGTCCACCCTCACCAGTATGGATAGGTTCCATCTATTGAGGTGATGAGAAGCCAGATAGAATGAAAAGGCAGAGGAAAGGTGAATTCACTCTCTTTTCTGAGGCTGGGGTATCCATCTTCTGCCCTTGGACATCAGAGCTCCAGGCTCACTCCCTTTACCCTCCCCACACTGTTCTCAAACTTCTGGCTTTGGACTGAGAGTTATACTAGTTATACTATCTATCAGCTCCCTGATTCTCAGGCTTTTTGACCCAGAAAGAATTACTCCACCAGCTTCCCTGGTTCTCCAGCTTGCAGACAGCATATGGTGGGACTTCTCAGCCTCCGTAGTAGCATGAGCCAACTCCTATGATAAATCCCCTCTTAAATATCTATATATACCTTGTTGCTTCTGTTCCCTGGAGAACCCTGACTAGTACAGTAGGGCACAGGAGCTGCTCAGTAAGTTTATACTCTCTGATGAGGAAAACATAAATTATGATCCAATTAGTTCCTAAAAATAAACCAATTCTCTCTCTCTCTCTCTTTCTCTCACCCTGGAGAGTATATTTTGAGGCAAGCACTACAATTTGTCTACATCTGTGACTATTTATCCAGTTATAATTTCATTATAAAATGGCCCGAAGATACTTTACCAGCATTACCCCTAACCCATACTTCCCAAGGAGAGAATGCTTCTGTTAATTCAGAAATAGCATCTCCCAAATGTTGGAAGTGCATGCTTGGAATACACAACTCACCAAAGCCTACCCTGCATATTTGATGATGGGTCTTTGGCCCCCACCCCAATTTTCAATAAATAAACCTTAGATTAGTTCAGGAGAGTAAGAAGAAGACAACATCCAGTCTTTGGGTCCAGACTTTCTCCATGGGAGGGAGTCCAGGGATGGCAAGCTAATTGAAAGAAGACAATATAAAACCTGTTTTGAAGCTGTGATTACAGCTGCTTAGATCATTTGATTACTTAGAGGAGCTTTAAGGGAAAGCTGATAGAAATAATTAGGGGACATTAATGCCTGTCTAATCTTTGCTGCCATTGCAAAAGTGAGATTCTGTATTCAGGAGGATGATCTATCTGAAACTCATGGTTTAATCTCAAGTAGAAGGGCTGAATGAAAGGGAGATAGAATTTGTTTTTAAATATCAGTGACTGCCAGACAATATTCCAGTTGCTTTCTATAGATTATTTCTTGTAAGCGTTATAAAAACCCCATGATACAGATGTGAATAGTCATGTCCATTTAAACAATGAGGAAATTAAGACGAACTCACCCAAGGTTAAGCAACAAAGTGGCAGAGGTAAGATTGAATCCACACCTTTCTGACTGCATAGCCTTTGATCTTTTCACATCAACTCCCAGCAATACTTAGATAAATTACAGAATGGAAATGAATTGGAGATGGTCTGAAAATTTCAAGCTTGATATTATCTGGGATAGGACTGAGGAGAGGCCTGGTAATCATCTGCCCATAAGAAGGCCGACTTTAATTATGCAAATTCCTCAAACCTAGAAAAGCAAGGTTAAATTCAGAAAATAAAAAGCTCCTAGGATTGTTTAAATTAAAGCATTTAACCATCTTGCTAATTTTATATGTGAGCAGTCTTACTACGAACTCTGAAAGATAAGAGCTTCCCACTTTCAAAGGCAGCATTGGTAATTAAGCTATTGTCTTCCAGCTCCCCATCCAACCTGCTATACTCTGCTTTGCGATGCGGCTGGGAGCCTGCAAAGGACATCTCTGCTTTGCCAGCCAGCACCCTATTAGGCTCTGCCAACAAGAGGTGCTAGGAGGAAACTGGGAGGCTGCAGGGGGCCTTCTGCCTCCTTCCTGCCTACTTTCTGTTCCTGCAGCAGTACTTGGTTCCAATTTCAAATGTTTCCCACACTCCCAGAACCAGCCTTATATATATACAAATATAATTTAAGTTCTGGGGTCCAAGTGCAGAACGTGCAGGTTTGTTACCTAGGCAAATGCATGCTATGGTGGTTTGCTGCACCCATCAACCCGTCATCTACATTAGGTATTTCTCCTAATACTATCCCTCCCCTAACCCCCCCAACCCCTGACAAGCCCCGGTGTGTGATGTTCCCATTGCTGTGTCCATGTATTCTCATTGTTCAACTCCCACTTATGAATGAGAACATGTGGTGTTTGGTTTTCTGTTCTTCTGTTAGTTTGCTGAGAATGATGGTTTCCAGCATCATCCATGTCCCTCCAAAGGACATGAACTCATCCTTTCTTATGGCTGCATAGTATACTATGGTGTATATGTGCCACATTTTCTTTATTCTAATAACCTCATCCTCTTGCCTCTGTCCTCCCAGCTCCAGAGTCACCTATGTGACTTCTGTGTCCCCTTTGCCTTTAACTATTTAAATATCTGTTTAACATTTTTCTTTTATTAAATTCTCTCTTAAAATAACTGGTGTGGTTTATTTTCCTGAATGGGCCTGACTGATACAAAGTTCCCTGGAGGAAGCTTCTTTAACCTTTTTCTGAAGTTTCATTCTCCTTGTTGTCTGAAAATTCTTTTTTATACTGTGTCATATTAAAAATTAACCTATTCTGTCCCCAGTATTTACTTATTATTTAACTCAGAGCATGATAACTTTTCTAAGGCTCAATTTCATCATCTCTAAATCTGGGGTATAATACCTACCCTTAAGTTATCATAGGGACTAAAGTAATCTATGTGTAAGCATCTAGCACACTGGCTGGTGCATATAGATGCTTGTGGTGAATATATTTATGAGCACCTGGATCAAGCCGTCTTTGAAGCTGATAACCGGTGATCTTCTCAGTGGAAAAAAAAAAAAATGCTGGGCATGGTGGCTTATGCCTGTAATCCCAGCACTTTGAGAGGCCGAGGCGGGTGGATCACCTGAGGTCAGGAGTTCGTGACCAGCCTGGCCAACATGGCGAAACCCCATCTCTACTAAAAATACAAAAATTAGCCAGGCATGGTGGTGCATGCCTGTAATCCCAGCTACTCGGGAGACTGAGGCAGGAGAATCACTTGAACCCAGGAGGTGGAGGTTGCAGTGAGCCAAGATTGTGCCATTGCACTCCAGCCTGGGTGACAGGAGTGAAACTCCATCTCAAAAAAAAAGAATAAATTCTTTTTTCACTTGATGAATTTTAAGTTGGGTTTCTCCCCTTTTCAACCAAGAATTATGGATAATATTGCCCTCAAATTAATGATAATTAATTTAAAATCCAAGACCCATTAAAATTTTAGTTTCAATCTGTTCTGGCTTCAGTAGAGGTAGGGCATAGCTTATCACTGCCTTAACTAGAAAAACCAGGCATGTCGCAGAAAGCTCTCAAATACCCTTCAACTATCTCTTCTTCAATATCAGTAGTCCTAGTTGTTTCAACCTTTTGAAACATTGCTTGAAAAGTCCTTTTTGGCTGCTATCTAAACCAGAACAGCACATCATATTTTTAAAAATTTCTTGATGTAAGTCAAAGATATGAGATATGTAACTCCCCACTCATATCAACAAAAGAAATGGCCAATGTGTCTCACCAATGACATTTTGCCATCTCATCCAGTGGAGTGTAATGCAGAATAAACAGTCTGAAAATGAATCTTCTTGCACTTCAGATCTCCTCACTCCTGTCTCATGATCACCTTGAAGTTTCTTATGCATTATTAGTGAAGGGCTAATCGCATTTTAATGTTGTAGACTGGAGTTTAATTGTTAGTATAAAATTTAATGGTTCTAAGGGCGGGGAACTAATTGCCTCCATGAAAATTTGATGTGATTCTGTCAGGTGTCCATCTGGATATCAGAATACCCCTACGGCCGGTGAGTTCATCGGTTTGGTAATTTTCTACAAGGGATTGGATTTTATTAACTTTTCTTGCCCTCCATGGCAAGCTTAATCACACAGAGATTGGTGTGAGGCTTGGGGTAACATAAACTACACCAAATGGGTGGAGTCTTTAGATGTGCTACAACTGGAGGAAACCTGACAAAATGCTGATAGTGGCAATAGCAACAGCCACCCATACAGGCAAATAAAAATAGATTCTTACTTTATGAACAATAACCCCAGGCAAATCTTTTAATGTCTGTCCTCGGGTTTTTCATCTGTAAAAGGAAGTGATTGGAATAGATGTCTGAGGTCTTTTTCAGGACCAAAGTTTTGTGCTCTACATCCCAGAATGAGATTGGTTATTAAGTGATTTCACTCTATAAAAAAACATGGTGCCAGGCGTGGTGGCTCACTCTTGTTATCCCAGCACTTTGGGAGGCCGAGGCAGGTGGATCGCCTGACGTCAGGAGTTTGAGACCACCCTGGACAACATGGTAAAACCCCGTCTCTACCAAAAATACAAAAAATTAGCTGGGCATAGTGGCGCATGCCTATAGTCCCAGCTACTGGAGAGGCTGAGGTAGAAGAATCACTTGAACCTGGGAGGCAGAGGTCGCAGTGAACTGAGATAACTCCATTGTACTCCAGCCTGGGTGACAAGAACAAAACTCTGTCTCAAAAAAACAAGAAAAGAAAAGAAAGAAACATGGTAGAAACCATTATTCCCATTTTATACATTTTATAGTTATGTACATTTCAGCAGCAGCTCAAGGCATGACAGCCCAAATAAAAGAAAGATTTTTTTTTATAAACCAGATAGTGCTGTATTCATGTATCTATTCAGTCAGTCAGACCATAGTTACCAGGGCTACTTTAGTGGGGAATGGTGCAGAATGTAATTCTAGAAACTCCTGACTAGAGACATAAAACCTGGAGAAACATTTCAGAATCTCATAGTTAACAGATACCAGTTGCTAGAATCATAAAACAAATACTACATACCAATAACTTGTAGTCATCAAAATTAAAAATAAATCATATCAAGATTCATATTACATCTTCCTATGCAATAAGTGGAATCATACATTTATAAAATACTTTTTTAGGCCAGAATTCAAGAATCTCCCAAGCTAGAGGATCTGATATAAGGCCAGTTTATTTTGCAATCAACACCCTGTGGAAATACCAGGAGGATAGAATGAAAGGAGGAGTGAATTTTGTGTTTATTAATTGGTGATATGGTAGAGCTAAATGCAGAGCAATATTAAGGTGATACCAGCTGGGGTGTCAATCAATCATGGATGCTAAGACATCATTAGAAATTTATTTTTTTCCATAGGTTATTGGAGCACAGGTGGTGTTTTGTTACATGAGTAAGTTCTTTAGTGGTGATTTGTGAGATTTTGGTGCACCCATTACCTGAGCATTATTCACTGCACCCTATTGGTAGCCTTTTATCCCTTGACCCCTCCTACCCTTCCCTAAATTCCATTGTATCATTCTTATGCCTTTGCAAAAAACATCATTAGAAATGTAATGCAATGGAAAAACATGTATTCATAAGAACTCTTTTCAGGGTTCTTTTCTGTGTGGTTGGAAAAAATATTTTTAAACACCACTTAGGGTTGGAATAAACCCCTCACCTGCCCCAGAAACACATTCAAGTAACATGAGATGGTACATTAATGAGCTGCCTTCTAAGAAAGGTGATTGTGTTAATACAGAGATTTCTTTCTTCTAAGTTAGGTACACAACTTTGGCGGGGGCGGGGAAGGGGTTGCAAATATGAATTACTTAGAGCAGTAAGTAGACCTGAGCTCTTCACTCAGCATCCTTTCCCCATGAGATAGGTTTTCAGCCTCTGATGAACAAATGTTTAATGAACATAAGATTGATGGGATATAAAATTATGAGTGTATTCCTGGGATGCTTCCATGTTATAGCCCAGCTCTTCACACACACACACACACACACACACACACACACACACACACACACACACACACACTCTTCTTGGGCTTGAGAGAAGCAGAGTACACAGAGAAGGAATCCTACAAAATCTCATCCCAGGAAGCCAGGGAGACTCTTCCTCCTCCCATCACAGGGTTGTGCCCTTCACAGTGTTGGATACTGGAGATGCAAAAAAATGAGAGAGCACAGGCCCTCCCTGACCCTCCCTGCAAAGCACTTTCAGTGCATTGGCTGCTCCTCAGTAAGAAAAAAACTGAATATGAATAGGTGTCAGCAGTGGTCCTGGACCTTAGTTTTAATTTCTCCCAAGATCTGCCTGTTCCTCTATATAAAATGCTTTTTTGGAATATACCAGAAGCTCTCCAGGCCAAATGATTCATACATTTATCATGCATCACTCTGCACTGGATATGGTAGCAGGTGCTGGAGATAGGATGAATGAGACAAAGCGCTTGCCCATGGGGAGCTCAAAGCCAGGAGCATCCTCCGATAACTGAGCCATAAGCGTTGTAATGGAGGTAACCACAGAGGTCCAGAGAGAGCAAAGATAAAAACTGCACAATCTAATTGCATTCAGTGATGATGACGATAAACGACGCTGTGCTAAATCCTCTACATTCATTATTTCCTTTTATCCTCTCAGCAACCCTATGAAGTATTAATAAACCCATTTTATGAGTAATGATATGGAGAAATGTTTATCTTTTTGTTCACAGCAGCTGGTCAGAGGATTCTTCTGTGAAGAGAAAGCTGTTGGATAAGCCCACTCATCCAAATCGAGAAGAATCGGCCTCCATGACAGGGTACTGGGCTGGGCACTAGATTTCCTTCAGAGGAGCAAAGAAGCTACTTTACATAATAAAGAGGAAACAGTGGCTGTCAAGAAAATTGGGAAGAATGGAGTAAAAGCAGCAGAGCTCTGCATGGGAGACTGGGAGACGTGTCAGCAGAAAAACAGAACCCCTGGCTAAGGTGTAGGGGGGAAGGAGGAAACAGAAAAAAAGGCAAGACTAATAAAGATTTTCCTCATGCCTGTAATCCCGGCACTTTGGGAGGCCGAGGCAGGCAAATCACCTGGGGTCAGGAGTTCGAGACCAGCCTGACCAACACGGAGAAACCCCTTCTCTACTAAAAATACAAAATTAGCTGGGCGTGGTGGCACATGCCTGTAATCCCAGCTACTCAGGAGGCTGAGGTAGGAGAATGGTTTGAACCTGGGAGACGGAGATTGCAGTGAGCCGAGATCACACCACTGGACTTCAGCCTGGGCAACAAGAGCAAAACTCCGTCTCAAAAAAAAAAGATTTTCAAGGACTTCATGTCTAAAACACCAAAAGCAATGGCAACAAAAGCCAAAATTGACAAATGGGATCTAATTAAACTAAAGAGCTTCTGCACAGCAAAAGAAACCACCATCAGAGTGAACAGGCAACCTACAGAATGGGAGAAAATTTTTGCAACCTACTCATCTGACAAAGGGCTAATATCCAGAATCTACAAGGAACTCAAACAAATTTACAAGAAAAAACAAAACAACCCCATCAAAAAGTGGGCAAAGGATATGAACAGACACTTCTCAAAAGAAGACATTTATGCAGCCAAAAAACACATGAAAAAATGCTTATCATCACTGGCCATCAGAGAAACGCAAATCAAAACCACAATGAGATATCATCTCACATCAGTTAGAATGGTGATCATTAAAAAGTCAGGAAACAACAGGTGCTGGAGAGGATGTGGAGAAATAGGAACCCTTTTACACTGTTGGTGGGACTGTAAACTAGTTCAACCATTGTGGAAGTTGGTGTGGCGATTCCTCGGGGATCTAGAACTAGAAATACCATTTGACCCAGCCATCCCATTACTGGGTATATACCCAAAGGATTATAAATCATGCTGCTATAAAGACACATGCACACGTATGTTTGTTGCAGCACTATTCACAATAGCAAAGACTTGGAACCAACCCAAATGTCCAACAATGATAGACTAGATTAAGAAAATGTGGCACATATACACCATGGAATACTATGCAGCCATAAAAAATGATGAGTTCATGTCCTTTGTAGGGACATGGATGAAGCTGGAAACCATCATTCTCAGCAAACTATCGCAAGGACAAAAAACCAAACACCGCATGTTCTCACTCATAGATGGGAATTGAACAATGAGAACACATGGACACAGGAAGGGGAACATCACACACCGGGGACTGTTGTGGGGTGGGGGGAGGGGGGAGGGATAGCATTAGGAGATATACCTAATGCTAAATGACGAGTTAATGGGTGCAGCACACCAACATGGCACATGTATACACATGTAACAAACCTGCACGTTGTGCACATGTATCCTAAAACTTAAAGTATAATAATAATTAGAAAAAAAAGATTAAAAAAAGAAAAAGATTTTCCAAAAGAAATCCTGTGTACTGTGTGAGGGGACCTGGCCCTGTGACCTTACAGATATTCAGCAAATATACTTGAATTTCTTGTGGAAGACAGTGAAGAAGGTGCATTTTGGCTCAAAGTTGACAAAGTGCTGGAACAGAGTCTGAATACGCTGATGAGGCCAAGGCCTGGTGTCTGTTTTAGAATAAAAATGGGGGAACCGAGATGAAAAGAGATTATGCTAAAAGCCTAGGCTCTGTTGCTTTTTGAGGTACAAAAATGTCTGTCGAGAGGCCGGAGAATTCTGTCTGCTTCTTAGGGATGTTGAGAGATGAAGACACAGTCTCTGGTGGAGAGCTGAAACAACCACCCTTGCCAAAGGCTACGTGGAGATCCAAAAGTCCTCACTTTCCAAAAAATGAAAGATTTGGGAGTCAGAAGTCTAAGGATCATAGAAACAGACCATATGAGCAAAACATTGTTAGAAAGGAAGTATTTCTGGGGCCTTGTAAAAAGAAAAAAAGAAAGAATGAAGATTCATGAGCCCACCGCTGAGTCTCTCTGGAGCAGAAGTGATGAATCAAATCACCATGGAAAAGTGAAAAGAAACAAGAAGAGGAAAAAAAAAATGAAAAAGTAAAGGTACTGTGGGCCAAGAACCTGAAATGAGAGCTGAAATTCAGGCTGGGAAACAAGGTTATTGAGCAGTAGAAAAGGAATTGTAAGAACCTGTTCTGCATGAATAGCTTGAATAATATTTTTTGTAAAAATCTGTAGGAGTGAGTTTTACTTCCAGGAAAGGATGTGACTTTGTGGCTAAGAGAAAAGAGAATTTTAAAAGGATTGAGAGTTGACCAGGAAACCCCTGGCCTCTGCTTTCCTAGAAGTAGAAACTTTTTTGTGGCATTTATGCTGAGAAATGAGGTTAGAGGAATTTGTACAGTTTTCCCTAAAAGAAGCTCTCCTGTCTCACTCACTTTGGAGCAAAGAGGAAAGAAATGGGACAAATGTGGCATGTGGTCCCTTCCCCACATTTCTGCTGGACACCTTCCACCTCCTGCCTTTCCTGTGGCTAACCTTGTTCTGGGTGCTCAGAACACCTTATTTTTATTCCTCAGTAATAATCAGAGCTGCATCAGGGTAAATTTTTTCCCATGCAAATGTAGATGCCTTCTCAGGTTTTTACAGCTTAAATCTGCAGTCTCTTTGAATATGACCTTTTCACTTCAGAAAGATTTTATTAATTTGCAACTCAGTGATGGTCTCCAGGCCCTACATTGCAATTAAAAGCATCAACTGTGTAATATCAGAACTGTTCTTCGGTGTTCCCAAAACGTCAATATTGAAATGGTACTTCATTTAACTTGAAGAAAACAAAGGCTCCTGCAACCACAGTGTCAACAAATAAGTAATGGCCCTAGCTCACCAGAGAACTGAAACCCAAAGTGTGATTTTGAAAGCAGTAACTGACAGTCATGAAAGAGTTGAATTACTTTATACTATAACATGAAGAGAGTCTACTAGTGAATCTGAGGGGAGGAATAAAAGAGTAGGGTTTATAAGTAATACATTATGTAGATTCATTTTAGAATATGAATAGCAGAGATTGTTACTATGACGCATGCTCCAAACCAAGGCTTTTGCCATTGAATGAAGTAATTATCATTCATTAATCTTTACAAGGATTATGAAAACGTGTTTATGATCAGGCTTCCAAGTATTTGTAGCCATGATTATAAGGATAGATTTGTCTTTCCAAATAAGCAGATAATCTTCCTGTTTAATGAGTCTTTCTTCTTAGAGATCAAAATGCATTGTGGGAATCTCAAGCAAATGATGCTCCAAACACCATTTGTTACTTCTAGGTTTATTCAATGTGATTAAACTTTAAAAGAAACATAATAAGGCACCTCTTCTACTTCATCCTTTTCCTCTCTCCCTTTGAAGTTCTCACTCATGAATTTATTTCAAGCAACTTCAATAATGCCAAATACAGATTGCAGAGTTATTTTTCCTCCTCATCTTTTTTGATATGATGAACAAGACCATTCAGCCTGCCATGGCACACCGAGGAAGCAGATGGTACCACTCAGCAGTAGAAAGAAACAAGAACTTTGTGCCGAACAATCGTGGGTTTGAATCTCTATTCTATCCATTATTCCTGGCAAGTTATTTAATGTCTATCAGCCACAGCTTTCTCACCTGCAAATGGTGTAGTGTGGTTTAAATGATACAATGGATGCAAAGTGTGGATGCTTAGTAATAGGAGCACCACCAGCCCAAATCGTCTTACCGCTGTGTCTCCTGAAAGGTAACTAGGAGCAGCAAACATAGAATGGACCTGTCCCTAGACCCACCTGTACCCCCTTGACAGCTACCACACTAGAAGTCTGGCATAGCAAATGCATGGCCAGTGGCCCAGCAAAACATGCAGGAAATCTTTCTTTGGTACCTAATTCATAGAATTCTTATAGCACTCAAAATCTGTACCACTCAAAGTCTGTACACTCTGTTTTATATTATGGGTTCATCATTTGTACACAAGTCTAATTTTTTCCAATGGTACTCATGTTTCTAACAAGCATGGATTGCATCTTACACTGTTTAATTCCTTAAGAAAACTAACATCCTATCAGCAAATTCAACCCATAAATATACATTTTTTATATAAGGTGTTCCTTTGTTTTTTATGAGAAATTTGTTGCTGATTATTTAAGGTATTGGTCTTTCTGCTTTATTACGGACCAAATAACAGTGGCTTAAATGAGATAGACATTTAATTCTTTTTCCATAAAGATCTGGACTGGTAGGCAATCCAAGAGTGTGAGCAACTCTGCTCTTATCTTGTTGCTACCAGCTGTCCCTGAAAGTGATGAGCCTATCCATGTGGTTGATGGCTCATCACAGTAAGAAGGGGAGAAAGAGAAAGGAAACCCAAGGAGCTGCTTTTTAAGGACATGACAGTGAACTTGCGCATAGCTCTCATCTTCATCCTCCATTGAACAATATTTGGCCAATGGCCACACCTAACTGCAAGGGAAGTGGAAAAATCGAATATTTAGCTGTGGAGGGTAGAGAGAAGAGGAGGGCACGTGTCTCTCTAAAACTTGAGGGATCCATTATACAGAGAAAGAAGGGAAGAGTGGGTCCTGGGCAAGAGCAATCCCTCCTACAGTAGCCATATTTGAAATCAGAGCATTTCATATGAAATCCTAGATTACTGGCTCCTTTCCAAAAAAATAGAAAGATCTGATAGCACAGGGCTCATATTCCAGTGAAACAGCAAGTAGGTGACTCTGAAGAACAGTTGCACATTTTAAAGATTACATGCAACGTTTCTTTTTTTTTTCTCTCTCTTTTCCGGTAGTCCCCATTAGGCCCTGATACCCATCTAACACACATAGTCTCTGTTATTTATTCACATCATTTGCCTAGTCCCTCTGGGCATTGAGTTTGCACCTAATGTATCTAGCATGGTGCTGGGCACACCTACTGCACACTCACTGTGTACTAAGCACTTTTCCCATACCATTGCATTTTATCCTCATAGCAATTTTGCAAGGCAGCTTTCTTTACTCTGTGGTATAGCTGAGCAAACTAAGGCTTAGAGACGTTGAATAACTACTAAGTTTATCTAGAAAGTGACAGATACAAAAAAAAAAGTCAAGTCTTTCTTGTCTGACTCTAATGTCCATGCTGGGAAGTGGGTGAGCAAGGGATATCCAGAGAGAAATTTGGCACAGTCCGATTTATCATTTTCATTTTCTTTGGTGAAACAACTTTCTTCTTTCTTGCCCATGGAATCTTTAATAGGGACTCTCCTAACAAAAGAACCACTGTATTATGTAATTTGAGTCGTTAAAAAAGCACATCTTAAGACCGCTAGACAGAGTGAGAGTGGACTGGCTTGGCGTGGAAGACCTGGGGGAATTTCTCACCCCCTTAAGGATCCTGGGGTTTCCCATGAGAGTCCAATAGAGTGTACATCCCCAGCAGTCCCCAAACATGCCCTATACTGTCCTCTCTGATGCCTCCCTTGTCTTAGAATCCTCTCTGTATTATTTTTTTTTTTTAGACAGAGTCTCACTCTGTCACCCAGGCTGGAGTGCAGTGGCGCTATATCGGCTCACTGCAATCTCCGCCTGCCGGATTCAAACAATTCTCCAGCCTCAGCCTCCCAGTAGCCGGTAGTACAGGTGCAGGTGTCCACACCCAGCTAATTTTTGTATTTTTAGTAAAGCCGGGATTTCACCATGTTGGCCAGGCCTGTCTCAAACTCCTGACCTCAAGTGATCCACCTTCCTTGGCCTCCCAAAGTGCTGGGTTTACAGGTGTGAGCCACCACCTGGCCTGCATTATCACTTTCTAGCAACTTCCCTCTGACCCTTTGAGGCCCAAGCCCAATTCAGCCTCTTCCATGAGGTCATCCCCAACTAGACTCCCTCCTGTGGCCACCCCTAGCTCTTACAACCGTCAGTGCTCACTGTTGACCCTGAGCGATGTGTTCACACACATTCTTCCGATCTCCCAAGCCAGACAGCAAGCCTGCAACACTAAGCTCACTGCCCAACACACAGCACATCTATGGTGACTGATTAATGTCAGATTGGATGTTTCTCATTTTCAAAAAACTGAATGAAAAAAATTTATATTCTTGGTTTAGCACTTCCCATGTATATCCTTGAAGCTTGCCATTTCTCCTTTTCAGCTAATAACGTTATGGTCACTGTGAGGTGGGAAACAGTGTAAAAGGAATAAAGAAAAGTTGCCTGAGAACTTTTAAGGATCAAGTCTTTGGTCTTCGCTCTCTTTCCATTCATTCATTCATTCATTCTACAAACATTATTGGCCATGTAATATGTGCCCTTGAAATGGGCACTAGAAACACAAAAATGAACAAGATGGGATTTTACCTCCAAGAAGATCTCATTCTGGTTGGAGAAAGACATAAGAAAACAATTATTACATTAAACAGCAAGGAGGACTCTGTCAGAAGACTGGAGCATGGGGAAGGAAGGTCAAAGCCAAGCCATGGGAAAATGACTCTATTCTTCTGTGCCTTAGTTATCTCACACAGCAAGAGAGAAATAACTGTTCTACCTTTGCGAGGCTTAATGCAATCAAAGGAAGGAAAACATTGGATGTGTAAGGTATCGTTATGGAAACTCACTTTTGTTCTTCCACTGGTCTTGACAGCCTTCATTAATCTTCTCACCCTTGTTTACCCAAAAAAAAAGTGACTCACAGTTACATAACAATTACCCAAAAAATAGTGACTCACCTTACATAACAATTAGTGATAAAGTTAATTAGAATCCAGATTTCTTAACTCTTATTTTTCAGCAATTGCTCACTGTTTAACACGAAAGATCACTTCAAGTAAGAGATAAATGGAAGCAAAAGCTCATTGGGAATAGACTAAAAACACATACATATGAAGGTCATCCATTTCTTTTTGGATATTGAATTTGGGATAAGATCACCTTGAGTCTGGAGCATGGGAGACTGGTCAGCAGTGGTGGCCCCAGCCATGGCAGGTGGCTTCTTACAGGACTATGAGTCCCATGGAGGATGTGGCAGGAGAGTTGGCAGGTGGAGAAGGATGAATCCTGACTCCTCTGTCTTTCTCTACATCAAGATAGTGGAGCATGCATGCTTTACACAATGTGTTTTGTCATTTATTCCTTACAACAACCCAGTGAAGTATGTTCCATTATTATCCTCATTTTACAGAGAAGGGAACTAACGGCATTTTTTTTTTTGGAAACAGAGACTTGCTCTGTAGCCTAGGTTGGAGTACAGTGTCGCTCAGCTCACTGCAACCTCTGCATCCCAGTTTCAAACCAGGTTCAAGCAATTCTCGCACCTCAGCCTCCTGAGTAGCTGGGATTTCAGGCATGCACCACCACGCCTGGCTAATTTTTTTTGTATTTTTAGTACAGATGGGGTTTTGCCATGTTGGCCAGGCTAGTTACTAACTCCTGGCCTCAAGTGATCTGCCTGCCATGGCCTCCAAAAGTGCTGGAATTACAGGTGTGAGCCACCGCGCCCAGCCTCTAACAACATCTTGATTAGAGAAAATCTTGTGCTAACTAACATGGTCATTGTTTTAATCAACCTTCCCGCAAAAAGGGAGGGCAGGAGGGAATTATTCAGAGCAAAATTTCCACTGATTTTCTCCTCAAAATGTGGAATAAGAAGAAAACCCAGAGAAGAATGCCCAAAGCAGATGTAGTGGAAGCTTCCCCACCAAACATCCTTGGCAACCAGTACCTCAGAGAGCAATCCAGCAATAATGGCAATTACCCAGCATCACAGCAGACACGTCAGGAGAACAGAAGCACAGGCCTGCCTCCCACTGCTCACAACTGGCTCAGGGGAAAAAGGAAAAACATGGGGCTTTGGGGTGCCAATTATGCATTGTTGAACACTGAAAACTAACAATGGCATTCACTCAAAAATCCAAAAGGCCCGTGAGTCATTTCTGACAAGCATAACAAGTCCTAGCTAAATACTTTAAGAAACCTTCTGATTTAAAACAAAATTATCATTTAAATCAAACTTGGGTACTGTTAATTGTTCTGTGACTCACTCAAAGAGTGCTTTGTGTGAATTTTACTTTACTTATTTTCCCCTTCAATAAGCTAAGAACCTTGATTCTATCAGTTGGAGCTTGTCAGAGAGAGGGGCTTGATGGGGAAGGAAAATTATGAATAATGGAGTAGTCAGAAAGGAGATACCTCAGTCCTAATCCTCCTTTTTAGGGAGGAAAACTGAAGATTCAACAAAGCCACCAGGTGAATGGTCTGACCTGTCTTTTGTGTAATAAAAATAAGCTATGAAGCATTTCCCACTGGAACTATTGAGAGATACATCAATTACCATTCTTGTGGGCAGCAGGCTAATCCTTCCAACTTGGATCATACTGAATAGGTCATGTGTCCACGGTAACCCTGTCTTCTTGTCAAACCATCTATGTTGATACATGTAGCTGTGTAGGGTCCCCCTCATCTGCCTTACACCCTGGAAGAAACAGAGGCCTCTGACCTCACTCTTTCCTAAAGAGCAGCTCTTTCAATCAACAGACTTTCACTGGAACACCTACCTTGCACCAACTATTCTGAATTCAGAGTCCATCTCTTCTCTCTGGGAATGTACAGGCTACCGAGACAGAACCATGGAAACAAAACTGGAATGAAATATGATTACTGTAATAGAGGTAAGTACATGGAACCACAGGAAATAAAGAAAAAAAAAGGTAATACCAAACAACTTGTAAGAACTGGGGACAGAAAGAGGGTCAGGGAAGAGTTATCAAATGAGTGACATTTGAACTAGGCAGTAAAGGGTAAGTAAGAGTTTTCCATATACTTATGTTTCCTGCTCATCTGTAAGATCTCTGTGGTAGGATCAGGTTTTGTTCAGAGCTGTATTTCTAGGCTGAGCACAGTGGCCCAAGCTTCTAATCCTAGCACTTTGGGAAGCTGAGGCAGGAGAATTGTTTAAGGCCAAGAGTTCAAGACCAACCTGGCCAACATAGCAAAACACTATCTCTATTTTTATTTATTTATTTATTTATTTATTTATTTATTTACTTATTTGAGACAGAGTTTCACTCTTGTTGCCAGGCTGGAGTGCAGTGGCACAATCTCATCTCACTGCATCCTCCACCTCTAGAGTTCAAGCTATTCTCCTGCCTCAGCCTCCCAAGTAGCTGGGATTACAGGCATCTGCCACCAAGCTGGCTAATTTTTTGTATTTTTACTAGAGACAGGGTTTCACCATGTTGGCCAGGCTGGTCCTGAACGCCTCACCACAGGTGATACACCCGCCTTGGCCTCCCAAAGTGCTGGGATTACAAGGCATGAGCCACCACGCCTGGCCTCCCCATCTCTGTTTGTTTGTTTGTTTGTTTGTTTATTCATTTATTTTAAGCTGTATTACTAGCAACTAGGACTTTTCTTGAGACAGGCAGGAAGGAGAGAAGGAGGGAAGGAGGGAGGGAAGGAGGGAGGGAAAGAGGGAGGGAAGGAAGGAAGGAGGGAGGGAGGTAGGGAAGAAGGGAAAGATTTTCATTTCACAGGCATGGAAAAGGGGTATAGCAGACATCCTTTGACTTGCCCCACCCCTGTTCTCTGGAATCTGCCTGTCTTGCCCATAGGCATTGTATTAACAATATGTTTCATCTCTTCTGCTTGAACCTGGCCCCTGAACATGGTTGACCAGTCCAGAAACGGGCTGTCGACATGAAGTAAACCAGAGTGCCTTGAGAATTTGACATTAGAACCCAAAAAAGAGGCTTAGCCTCTGGATAATTGAATCTATAGCTGATAAACCCGGGAGCTGTGGGGAGTCCATGTCTTCTACCATGTGAGCAGGGAGCAAAGAAGCCAATTTACAAAGAGCAAAGAATGAAGTGGATGTGCAGAGATGAGAACCAAGGAGAAATGAGAGATAGGAAATACAAACTAATCTCTCCTGCCTCCCAGATCCTTGTTCCTGATACATTCCTGTTTTTAGGTTATTTATGAGTCTCCTCATTTTCTTAGTAAATTTTCTCTTTTTTATGTAAGCCAGCTTTACTTGTTTTCTGATATTTGGAACCAAAAGCATTTTATCCGTTGACAGTGAAGTTTGGGGTAGAGAGGATTCTAGGCAGAGGCTTAACATGAACAAATGCCCTGAGGTCTGAAAGGGCTTGGTTGTTTGAAGAATAGGGAGGAATTTGGTTCTCCATTAACCAAAACAAAGGAATAGGGTCCTGGGATGCCAGAAAATCCCAAATAAAAAGGCACAAGTCATGCTAGAAACATCCACCTTTCTCTGAAAATTCCTACATTTGGAATGTGCTTAGGAATCATAGTCAAAAAGTCTGAGAAGGGTGTTCAAGTTCTATCAGCAAATGAGTACAAATAAAAATCTTACAAGGGCCTGCACTGCATAGGCTTCGGAGACTAATGAAGTTCTAAAATTTGGAAAGGGTCAGCAGGATCAGAGAATAGATATCAGACCTGAGGAGAGACTCATACACTTAAAATAGGACAAAGTTTGCTCACTTACAGAGAGATGCAATGATCACAGGCCCATGAATACTTGAAGTCTACCTGTGTGAGACATTCCATACTATCTGACCATAGGATCACAAAGTCCCTGTGAATACTAATTAGAATTTACCTATATGCACTCTCCATTCTCCACACAAATGTTAATTTTCCATCATGCTCTTCTGTACCTCCTGAATCATGTTGGAAGTCATTACAATAGCTCCTGATACATTTTCAGCCTTTCATCTGCTGTTAGGCAGAATCCCATGCACCAAGGTATAGGAAAATAAGTATCCTAATGTCCTTCTACCCATTCATATTATAGAAACACAGTGTGGGCCAAGGACTACCAAAGGACTTCCAGAAACCCCAACTTAGCATATCACATATTAAACAGATATGTAGGGTAGAGCTTATTAGCATTACAAATGGCATTGCAACATGAGTTTTCTCTTTCAAAAGATTGGTTTTCAAGGTTACTTTAACTTGCCTGCTTCTCCAGTGCAATTAAAATATCATGTGATTTTTTTCCAAACAGCATTTACGCACACTCTCCCAGGAATTCTATTATTGTTATGTGATGGGTTTGACCTATATTAAACTTAAGATCTTTCACAAAAGTAATTCCAAATCACAGCTCTGGAAAGTTTTTCAAGGAAGTCAAGAGTAGAAGTTGCTTTTTGCTGCATCAACACAAGAGGAGACGTGAATGAAGTCAGTCCCTTTTGGTTTTAATAATTCACTGCTTGATGTTATCTATGTCCATGTGACCACAGGCTTGGGTATCGAGCATGCACTCAACAACATCCCAGGCGCATAAATAAACCATCTTCTGCTCTGAGTCCAGGAAACAGTTATTGATCTTTCCCTACCTGACTTTCCTGGGGATTTCTAAAATAGCTTGTCTTAAGAGAATTAAAGACTCAAATATTTTTCTTTTGTTCTTTGACCAATATAAAATCACCAACGACTTGCAAAAGATGAATTCTGACAGAGAAACATTAGCATTTGCTTTTGATGGCCAAAGTAACTGCCCTGGTAACTTAGCCTGGAAGTTAAGATACAAAAGGAAAAATTCAGTCTCTTGGCCACCAAGGCCATTTTGCTCTGTCAAGAATCAGACTCTGAATTATAGCTCTGGGACCTTGATCAGCCAAAAATCAGGCCATATGATCTCCATGGATCTAATGGGACAAAGAGATACTGTGGTGCAGAAATTCCACATACTCAGTTGCCCATTTTGAATACTCAACTGAAAATCTAGATGTTAGCCCTAGCTCCAACAGGCTACGTGGTCTCAGAAAAATCCTGTTGTTCCTTGGAGCTCAGTTTCTCCATCAGCCAGATATCAATGGTTTGTCACCCATCAGGCATTTCCTTCCCCTCTGATCATATCCCACTACAGAGGCTACAAATGCTGATTCACACTTTCCTAGCCATCTTTGGGGTCAGGTTCCTGTGAGATGTGTGGACAAGTCATGTGGGGGGATTCTAGATGCATATCATCCTTGGAAAACAGACATAAGAGGAAACTACTCTCTCACCACCCCCAGATACTCTCTTGATTTCTCCTTTACACCTTTTCATGGAAGATGTGAGGCTTGGATGTTGCCACACACACATAACAGAGAAGAAAGATTGGAAGAACCTGCATCGTTGAGGGGGTATCACTGAGCCAATGAACTAGACTATAACATCCTCCAGACTTCTTGTTAAGTAAATAACTCATGTCCTTAGGATGGAAAACAAGGTTGGTGGGTTTTCTGTTATTCATAGCCAAAGTATTTCAACTGACACATACATCTGTAAAATACGAGGGTCAGACTGGAGTCTCTAGGGTTCTTTCTAGCTGTAAAATTTCTTAGGTAATTTGTATGTCCCTTCTTAGCACCATCAAAGTCTCTTCCCTTGGCTGGCTTGCTCAAGAAGAACAAGTAAAACCATGCAGTTCCCAAAGGTTGTTCTTCAAAATTATAAATTAATAGCAATTGTATTGCTTCCCCTATAAGAAAATGGAGCCTCTGACTCACCAGTGGTAGAGTATGATTTTGGCAGAGCATGACTTTGGCAGAGCAGTGAGCATGCACACTAAGCATCTCCAACCTGGCACATGATCAAGTGCATTGTTAAGACAATGTCACTGATCTTTAGAAAATGCAAATCAAAACCACAATGAGATACCATCTCACACCAGTCAGAATGACTATTATTAAAAAGTCAAAAAATAGTGGATGCTGGTGAGGTTGTGGAGAAAAAGGAACACTTATACACAGATAATGTAGTGTAAATTAGTTCAGCCATTGTGGAAGATAGTGTGGTGACTCCTCAAAGACCTGAAGACAGAAATACCATTCAATCCAGCAATCCCATTACTGGGTATATACCCAAAGGAATAGAAATCATTCTATTATAAAGACAGTTCCTGTCTTTATAAAGAAAGAACAGTTCCTATTCTATTATAAGGAAAGTTCCTGTATGTTCATCGCAGCACTATTTGCAAGAGCAAAAACATGGAATCAACCTAACTGTCCATCAGTGATAGACTAGATAAAGAAAATGTGGTACATATACACCACAGAATACTGTGCAGCCATAAAAAAGAACAAGATCATGTTCTTTGCATGGACATGCATGGAGCTGGAGGCCATTATCCTCAGCAAACTAACACAGGAACAGAAAACCAAATACTACATGTTCTCCCTTATAAGTGAGAGCTAAACGATGAGAACACATGGACGCATATAGGGGAATAATACACAACGGGGCCTGCTGGAGGATGGAGAGTGGGAGGAGGGAGAGGATCAGGAAAAATAACTAATGGGTACTCAACTTAATACCTGGTGATAAAATAATCTGTACAACAAACACCCATGACACAAGTTTACCTATATAATAAACCTGCACATGCACCCCTGAACTTAAAATAAAAGTTAAAAAAGAAAACAATGGAAATACTTGGGAGATTGGCCCATGGCAATAGGAAAGTGGGTAAATGCCTATTGGAATGTGATCTGAGGACCATTGATAAAAAGGTTTTCAATGCCATGTAGCTCACTCATCCCCAGGAATTTCCACTCGATTTTCAGGATTTCTGTTGCCAGAATCTTCTTGAAACAAATTGAGAGAGGTAACCCATAAGCCAGAGAACATTTAAGCCTTAAGGAAATGGAAGGCAGCCAGATGGATTTGGGGAAATTATTTAGGGTAGCAAAAAGACCATAGGCTTTAGAGCTATGGGGTTATGCTTGAGTCCTTGTTCTACCACCTAATACCTGTATATCTTGAAAAAGTCATTTGAGCCCTCTAAAAATCATTTATAAAATGTTTTGCCCTGACTTTCTTTTCTCCATGGCTGTTACAGAAGGCCAATAAGAGCATATAAGGAGAAAGCCTTTGAAAAGTAGAGTGACAGCTAGGTGTGAGAGACATAATTCTTAATTATAAGGAATAGGCAAAGTTCAAAGGGATGGTCAGCAGGCACAAGAACCTTGGGGGCAGAGGGGCACAATGGAAGGCAAACAGCCACGACTCTGAGTCAATCTGAGGCAGGCCTTTCCTGGGTTGATTTTTCTCAGTATCTAGCCAACTACCCTATACAGGGGTTAACCCCAGTTCCTGGCCTAAGCAGTGCCTTTCTTCAAACTCAGTATCTGACCACCTAGTAGTTGCCTTAACAGCTGCAGGTATTGGAAATATCAGAGCTGCTTCCTCCTCCTACCTGGTTTGGGCTGTTTCCAGAGGCATTTAAGCTCCTCTAAGGACGTTGGATGCTCTAATCTTTCTTGTAGTCCTATAAGGGAGACTGAACTGTGCAGCTAGATGGAACAGAGAAAGAGGACCAGGGTATGAGTGGGTAGACATTGAACACTGGTTAGAGGCTCAATTCAGCTACAAACCCAGCGTGCACCACTAGGCTCGCCACCTATTGGCTCAGGGCCTCGATTTCCACATCTGCCCTCATAATAGGACCAATTATTACCTGTTCTGCTGGCCTCCCAGGAACACTGTGAAGTTAAAGTGAACTAATGGAGGAAAGATGGCTTGAATACTGGAAAGCAAACAGATATAAATGTTTCTGGGGCAGTGTGCAGTTGTTGGTAAGAGGCTGAGCTTTGAAGTCAGACACAGTCAGCTCGTGCCCTAGTTGGTCACCCTAGCTGTATGATTTTGAGCAAGTTACTCAGTCTCTTCAAACCTTGATTTATTGCCTTTAAAATAATATTCCTAATAGTTACCATATAACCTGAATTAGTGGTTAAATAGAACAATAAATTCCTGTCACTCATTAAGCAAATGCTTAATCAATGTCAGTAGTAGTAGTATTTGTTGTAGTTGTTATTACTATTAACCCCATTCCCTTGTCAGATCACAAGATTGAAACCCAGAGACAGCCTCTGCCTATGCCGCCTCTCAACTTTACCTCAGTGTTTGTTCTAAAATGTCACACAGGCACTGAAGCCTCTATTGAGACTCACAGATATGAAGATAAGTCCAAAGCTTTACACTTGATAAGACCCGCATCTCAGAGCCCATTCTTCACCACCACTGTCCTGTCCGATCCTTTGCTGAGTGAGGTTTTACAACAAATGTCTGTGCTCTGATGCAGAATGCAACCAGACAAAGCTCAACATCTTTCTTGCTAGGCTCCCTGCCATGGAGAATCCACACTGCAATGCTGACACAGCCTGGCAGAAGCACCTGGCAAAGCCCATCCAAGCTAAGCTTCACCCCCTCTGGTTCCACAGCCCCCACAGGGAGCCTGGCTTGTCCTTTTTGAAACCTCAGTCCTTTCCTCCGTGCAGGAAGCCAGCACTCCAGCCACATCCAGACTTGTGTCCTACACAGCACCCCTTCTTAAGTGAGAGTCAGAAGCTGAGCTTTCTTCCACCCATTGCCATTCCAATGTGGTGAGCCAACAACTGAGTTGGGGCCAAGCCTTCCTTGGGCACCTGCAACCCCAGGTAAATGTCCTTATCTTTAGACTTATCACATTGTATTTTTTTCATGTAATTTACTTGTCTGTCTCTTCCACTAGATTGTGAACTCCTGGAACACAAGAGCCCCTTCATATTTATTTTTCTATTTCTAGGCACTGACACTGACCACAAAAACTCTCATGCTGCTATAAAGACACATGCACACGTATGTTTATTGCGGCACTATTCACAATAGCAAAGATTTGGAACCAACCCAAATGTCCAACAATGATAGACTGGATTAAGAAAATGTGGCACATATACACCATGGAATACTATGCAGCCATAAAAAAGGATGAGTTCATGTCCTTTGTAGGGACATGGATGAAGCTGGAAACCATCATTCTCAGCAAACTATCGCAAGGACAGAAAACCAAACACCGCATGTTCTCACTCATAGGCGGGAACTGAACGATGAGAACACATGGACACAGGAAGGGGAACACCATACACCGGGGCCTTTTGTGGAGTGGGGGGGAGGGGAGAGGGATAGCATTAGGAGAAATACCTAATGTAAATGACGAGTTAATGGGTGCAGCACACCAACACGGCACATGTATACATACGTAACAAACCTGCAAGTTGTGCACATGTACCCTAAAACTTAAAGAAAAAAAAAACTCTCAGTTAGCTTTAATTTACCTAAACTGTTGAACTGCCAAATGCTAAAATGCATGAGCACGTTTTGGGGGCATGTCAATATAAGGAGAGTCCAACAAACCGCCCCCAAGCATTTTCAGACATGTGTTAGCCTATCACTAGGCACACTTCACTCACCTCACCAGAGGCCCCATCACAGAGAAACAGAGTAAAAGAGCAAAAATGTAAACAAAGAAGTCCTCAGAGCAACTATCCCTTCTATCGTATTACAAGCTCCCTGCTCACAACTGGCAAAGCTACCCAAGAACAACTCAAATTCCACCTTCTCATGTCCGCCTCTGAGCTCTGGGGCTATTGGAAATCCGGGCCATCACCAGTCATGGCCTCTAGTCACAACCAGCTCCTCAAATAGCACAGCCAGCCTTGATTACTTCCCTAGTGAGAGAAAGCTCTACTCCAGGACCACTCTTCCAAGCCTTCCCTACCCTTCTAAAACCCTCAAGACATTACCTCTTATTTCACCAAGAAAATAAAAGCCACTGATGAGCACTCTCTCAACTTCATGCCAACATACCAACATTCCTTCTTATACAGACACATTTTCTTTTTTCCTTCTCTCAAATTACAACAGATAAAGAATCCTTTCTCCCATCCAAACATAAGTATTTCTAATTATCTGTAATCTATCTTTGAAACCTCAGTTTCTTCTTTTCTGATGGATCCTTCCCTGTGGCATGCAACCTCCTCAAGTCTCTTTTATAATTAACGAAACATAAATAACAACAAAGACAAACCAACAAAAATATCCTTATTCACCTTGGTATATTACCCAAATATTCCTATTTGGGTAATATACCAAGGTGAATGAGGTTCACAGTAAAATTGAGTACAAAGTACAAACAACAACAACAAACTTGTTGTTTTGTCTTTGTTTCTTTGTTGACAATCAACTTATATTCACACAAAACCTACACATGGATGTTTATAGTAGTAGCTCTATTCGTAATTGCCAAAACTTGGAAGCATCCAGGATGTCCCTTGTGAATGATTAAATAAACTGTTATGCATCCAGACAATGGAATATTACTCAGTGCCAAAAACAAGTAAGCTATCAAGTCATGAAAAGACACAGAGAAACCCTAAACGCATATTACTAAGTGAAAGAAGCCAATCTGAAAAGGCTACATGCTGTATGATTGCAACTACATAAAATTATGGAAAAGGCAAAACTATGGAGAAAGTAAAAAGATCAGCGATTGTCAGGAGTAGAGGGACATGAGGGATGAATAGGCAGAAAGCAAAGGATTTTTAGAGCAGTGAAAACTATTTCATATGACACTATAATGGTGGATATGTGTCATTATACTTATGTCCAAAGCTACAGAATGTACACCAAATGTGAGCCCTAATATAAACTATGGATTTTGGGTCACAGGATGTGTCAATGTAGGGTCATCAATTGTAATAAATGTACTACTCTGGTGGGAGATGTTGATAACAGGAGAGGCTGTGCATATGTAGGGGCTGGGAGTATATGGGAACTCTTTGTACTTTCCACTCCATTTTTCTGTGAACCTAAAACTAAAAAAAAGTTAAAAGCCTTTTAAAGCTAAGCACACCACACACACACACACACACACACATACCCCACACATATAATCCTCATTCAACCCTCAGGTCCAATTACCAGATAAGTTGGCATTAAAATAAGTACAAAATATTACAGGTTACACTATAAAAGAATAATAAATAAGAAGGCATGCACAAAACATGCTCATCATTCAGCCTTCCAATAGCCAGGGCCCTCTGACAGTTATCTTTCATTATAAATGAGCTGCTGATATACAGACATGGATCTTAGGCCATTTGTATTCATTAATCTGAGCCAATATCATAAGTCTGATTATCTTTTGTCTCACCCAAGAGTGAGTTTCTGGACATCCAAAACATAAGACCAAATTTGGGAAATGGTCATATAATCTGGATTTAATAGATATTCTCCTAACTAAGCTGTATTTACTGAGTTGACAGTGCTCCAGCCCTCCGTAAAACATACGACTGATGGCCACAGCACACTGAGTGTTGTGCTTAAGCTGGTATCATAGTCTCTATTAACACACATTTCTCCCAGCTGAACTATATGATTATAATCTAAACAGTTTATTTCATTTTATTGAGACAGGGGCTCACTCTGTATCCCAGGTTAGATTGCAGTAGTGTGATCATAGCTCACTGCACCGTCAACTTCTTGGGTTAATTTTTAATTTTCTTTAGAGACAGCATCTCTCTATGTTGCCAAGGCTGGTCACGAACTCCTGGTCTCAAGTAATCCTCCCACCTTCTGAAGTGCTAGGATTACAGGCATGAGTCACTGTGCCCAGCCATATAAACAGTTTAAAAAACTCTTTACCTATTATAATTATGTAATTTAATTTAATATTTATATACTCATATATTATGTATTACTTTATATAATATGTAGGTATACTTGTATATTATAAACTGATTAAATACAAATATGAAGAGATTTGATTCGTTATCAATATAATTTGTTACCTATAAGAAAATATTATTTTTATTGCTTACAAAATATTATTTGTTGCCTAAAACAAACACACTTCACCTGTAAAGACAAACATAGACTGAAAATAAAGAGATGAATAAAGATATTCCATGCCAATGGAAACCAAAAAAGAGCAGGAGTAGGTATACTGATATCAGACAAAATAGATTTTAAGAAAAAAACTATGAGAAAAGACAAAGAAGGCCATCATATAATGATAAAGTGGTCAATTCAGCAAGAGGATATAACAACTGTAAATATATATGCACCCAACACTGGAGCACCCAGACATATAAAGCAAAATTATTAGAGCTAGAGAAATAGGCCCCAATAAAATAATAGCTGGAGACTTCAATATCCCATTTTCAGCATTGGACAGATCTTTCAGACAGAAAATGACAAAGAAACATTGGACTTAATCTGCACTGTAGACAAAATGGACCTATGAGATATTTACAAAACATTTCATCCAACAGCTGCAGAATACACATTCTTCTTCTTAGGACATAGATCATTCTCAAGGATAGACCATATGTTAGGTCACAAAACATGTCTTGAAACATTCAAAAACGTTGAAATAATACCAAGCATTTTCTCTGACCACAAGGAAATAAAACTAGAAATCAATAACAAGAGAAATTTTAGAAAGTATGCAAATACATGGAAAGTAAAAAATATGCTCTGGAATGCCCAGTGGGTTAATGGAGAAATTATGAAAAAAAATTGAAACAAATCATAATGGAAACATAACATACCAAACCTGTGAGACACAGCAAATGCAGTAGTAAGGGAGAAGTTTATAGCTGTAAGTGCCTACATAAAAAAAAGAAGAAAAACTTCACATAAATAACCAGATGTGCCCATCATTATTATTTGGAAAGCTCCTTAAATAACTAGAAAAGCAAAAATAAACCAAACCCAAAATTAGTAGAAGAAAAGAAATAATAAATATTAGAGCAGAAATAAATGAAATTGAAACAAAGAAAAGAATACAAAAGATTAATGGAACAAAACTTGGTTTTTTGAAAAGATAAACAAAATTGACAAAAATTTAGCCAGACTAAGAACAAAAGAGAGAAAAGACAAATAAATAAAATGAGAAATGAAAAAGAAATTCAAAGGATTATTAGTGGCTACTATGAGCAACTATATGGAAATAAATTGGAAAATCTAGAAGAAATGAATAAATTTCTAAACATGCACAACCTGGCAAGATTGAATCAGGAGGAAACCCAAAGACTGAAGAGACCTATAATAAGTAATAGGATTGAAGTTGTAATAAAAAGTCTCCTGGCAAAGAAATGCCTGGGACTCAATGGCTTCACAGTTGAAACATACCAAATATTTAAATAAGAACTAATAGCAATCCTACTCAAACTATTCTGACAAATAGAGGAGAATACTTCCAAACTTATTCTATGGAGCCAGTATTAACGTGATACCAAAACCAGACAAAGACAAATGAAAAAAAGAAAACTACAGGCAAATATCTCTGATGACTATTGATGCAAATATCCTCAACTAAATGCTAGCAAACTGAATTCAACAACACCTTAAAAAGATTATTTACATGACCAAGTGTAATTTATCCCTGGGATGCAAGGATGGTTCAACATACGCAAATTAATCAACGTAATACATCAAATCAACAGAATGAAGGACAAAAAAACCATATGATCATTTCATTTGATGCTGAAAAACCTCTTGGTAAAATTTAACATCTCTTCATCATAAAAACCCTAAAGAAACTGGGTATGCAAAAAACATACCTCAACATAATAAAAGCCATAGAAGACAGACCCACAGCTAGTATCATACTAAATAGGGAAAAACTGAAAGCTTTTCCTCTAAGATCTGGAACACAATAAGGATGTACACTTTCTCCACTGTTATCCAATATAGTACCCAAAATCCTAGCTAGAGCCATCAGACAAGACAACAAAATAAAGGGCATCCAAATCAGAAAGGAAGAAGTCAAATCATCCTTTTTAGCAGATAATATGATCTTATATTTGGAAAAGCCTAAAGACTCTACCAAAAAACTCTTTGAACTGATAAACAAATTTAGTAGTTACAGGATTAAAAAATCAACATACAAAATTAGTAGCATTTCTATATGCCAACAGGGAATAATCTGAAAAAGAAATTTAAAAATTAACCCCATTTACAATAGCCACAAATAAAAAATTAAATATCTGGGAATTAACTAAACCAAAGAAGTAAAACATATCTACAATGAAAACTATAAAACAATGATGCAAGAAATTGAAGAGGACATCAAAAAAAGTAAATATATTCCATATTCATAGGTTGGAAAAATCAATATTGTTAAAATGCCCATACCACTCAAAGCAATCTACAGTGCAATCCCTATCAAAATACCAATAACAAGCCAGGCGCAGTGGCTCATGCCTATAATCCTAGCACTTTAGGAGACTGAGGCAGGCAGATCACTAGAGGTCAGGAGTTTGAGACCAGCCTGGCCAACATGGTGAAAACCCATCTCTACTAAAAATACAAAAAAAATTAGCCAGGCTTGGTGGTGTGTGCCTGTAGTCCCAGCTACTAGGGAGGCTGAGGCAGGAGAATCACTTGAACCTGGGAGGTGGAGGGTGCAGTGAGGTTGCAGAGGTTGCACTCCAGTCTGAGTGACAAAGCAAGACACCGTCTCAAAAAAAAGAAAAAATACAGAAGACATTCTTCACAGAAATAGAAAAAACAGTCCTAATATTTATATGGAACTGCAAAAGATCCAGAAGAGACACGGCCATTCTGAGTAAAAAGAACAAAACAGGAGGAATTACATTACCTGACTTCAAATTATACTACAGAGCTATAGTAAACAAAACAGCATGGTACTGTCATAAAAACAGACATATAGACCAATGGAACAGAATAGAGAACCCAGAAACAAATCCATCCATCTACAGTGAATTCATTTTCAACAAAGGTGCCAGGAACATACACTGGGGAAAGAACAGTCTCTTCAATAAATGGTGTTAGGAAAACTAGATATCCATATGTGGAAGAATTAAACTAGAACCCTATCTCTTGCCATATACAAAAATCAAATCAAAGTGGACTAAAAACTTAAATCTAAGACCTCAAACTATTAATCTACTAAAAGAAAACTTTGGGAAAGCTCTCCAGGACATTGGAGTGGGCAAAGATTTCTTGAGTAATACCCCACAAGGTAACCAAAGCAAAAATGGACAAATGGAATCACATCAAGTGAAAAAGCTTCTGCACAGCAAAAGAAACAATCAACAAAGTGAAGAGACAACCCACAGAATGGGAGAAAATATTGGCAAACTATCCATCTGACAAGGAATCAATAACCAGAATATATAAGGAGCTCAAACAACTCTTAAAGGAAAAAAAAATCTGATAATCTGATTGTTAAATGATCAAAAGATCTAAATAGACATTTCTCAAAAGAAGTCATACAAATGGCAAACAGGCATATGAAAAGTTTCTCAACATCACTGATCATCAGAGAAATGCAAATTAAAACTACAATGAGATATCATCTCACTCCAGTTAAAACGGGTTATATCCAAACAACAGGCAATAACAAATGCTGGCAAGGATGTGGAGAAAAGGAAACCTAGTACACTGTTGGTGGGAATGTATATTAGTACAATCGCTATAGAGAACAGTATGGAGGTTCCTCAATAAAACTAAAAATAGAGCTATCATACAACCCAGAAATTCAACTTTTAGTTATATACCCAAAAGAAAGGAAATTAGTATATCAAACAAATATCTGCCCTCTCATATTTATTGCAGCACTATTCACAATTGCCAAGATTTGGAAGCAACCTAAGTGTCCATCAGCAGATGAGTAGATAAAGAAAATGTGGTACTTATACACAATGGAGTATTATTCAGCCTTAAAAAAGAATGGCATTCTGTCATTTGCCACAACACAGATGGAACTGGAGGACATTATGTTAAGTGAAATAAGCCAGGCACAGAAAGACAAGCATCTCATGTTCTCACTTATTTGTGGGATCTAAAAACTAAAACAATTTAACTCATGGAGACAGAGAGCCAAAGAATGATTACCAGTGACTGCAAAGGGTAGTGGCTGTTATGGGGGAGTCAGAATAGTTAATAGGTACAAAAATATAGTTAGAAAGAATGAATAAGACCTAGTATTTGATAGCACAACAGGTTGACTATAGTCAACAGTAATCTAATTGTACATTTATATATTAGAACTAAAAGTATAATTGAATTGTTTGTAACACAAAGGATAATGCTTGAGGTGATGGACACCCCATTTACCCTAATGTAATTTATTATGTGTTGCATGCCTGTATCAAAATAGCTCATGTGCCCCCAAATTTGTGTACTCAACAATATATCCAAAAACATTAAAAATTTTAAAAAGATTGGGGGAGGAGAGTGTTATACAAATCTTGAAGTGTTCTACACTCAGATTGCTTCCTAGTGTTAAATTCTAATTCCATTTTACAGAAACTGAAACTGGAAGTCACAGATGGTGTACTGTGGGTATGGTTATGCAAGAAATACAGGGCTGAACTCCGCAATGACGTACCCATACTCAAAGGCCATGATTTTGTGTCAAAAGATCAGCAAATAAATGCACATTTATCCAGATTGAGTTAAAATAAGATCTCTAGGGAACCTATGAATCATGTTTTATGCTTCTTCATTTTACTCAGCTTTTTCAATTAACCAATCAACTGCTGGTGCTGATCACATAGAACCAAAGGGCTTTTAGTATAGTATGGTACTGGATTCTGCCCAGCCGCAGAAGGCCTCCCTCAGATAACACCACCACCTTTCTCCAAATTCCTTCAGCTAGGTTAAGAGGGCTCTCATATTTAGATCCAGGCCTTTGATTATGCCACAGCAATTAAGCTTTGTCAATTATGACATCAAGCAGATGTTCAATAAATGATTGCTAGAAAAATAAATTAATGAATAATAACAGAATAAAGATTTGGAGCTTCTTCCAAAGTCCATCCCAACTAATCCCATATCACTAGCCTAAACTAGTTTTTTGTGGGGTTTTTTTTTTATGTTAGTGTTTTCTTTGTAAAAGCCCACTAGGGAAGAAACTAGTTAAGTAACTCATCCTTGCTTTGGAAATATAAGGATCTGTTTCTCATCCTCTTACCTAATCTAAGTCATCTGTTCTAAAAGTAAGTTTATTTCTTGTCTGCTCCAAAAGACATAACACTGCTTATTGCTGAACCTACCTTGGTTCCTCCAAATCTTCCTGTTACTCATTTAACAAATACTTACCAATACCCATCGGGTGCTGACAGTGTGCCAGGAGCTGTGCTAGGTGCTGGGGATAGGGCAGGGAACAAAACAGACACCATCCCATTTCTTAAATGTCCTAGTCACAAAAGCATTTTTAAAAAAGAAAGTGTTTCAGGTTATAAAACAACCAATCCGTAGACTAGGGTGCAAAATTTATGGAGTCTTTGCCTACGAGTTCCATGCAGAAACCAGAGAGTGATGTATCCTTTAATTTTGTGCCCTAGTCCCCTACCTGTCAGTAGATTCCTCATTCCTCCTTCTATGTTTAGCTTTTCTGTAGCCAAGCTTCCAGAATCTTGTTTCTTCAATTCATTCATAGCCCACTATAAATCTCTGGGCCTTTTTTGCCACATAGGTGTCTGGTATATTTTGACATGGTTTGCACCTGGGAATAGATCTTAAAGATTTGTTTAACCACAAATGTTTCAGCCTTACTACTCTTCAGTGAGAAAGAAATCACTGAGCATTTTATTTTTCAGCTAAAAAATTAGCAAGCAAACCTAAGAATAACAAATAATTGTGTCTTACTCTGAGAATAGGCAGGTTTCAGAAAATACCAAGGCCTAAACTTGTGTGATTTTAAAGGTACTAGGAAAAAAAGTCTCTTGCTGAAAAAACCTACTGAAAGACAGGATAAAGCAGTAGTAAAGAGACTAGTAGTCAAGACCTGAGTTCAATTTCAAGTTTTAACATGTGCTAGTTGGATTTAAAAGTGAATAAAATATAATCCCTGTCATCAATAGGCAGACATCTAACAGGGATGATAAACAGATGATTACACACAGTGAGATAAGTGCAGTGATGGAGATATTCACAGGCTTAGGGAGCACAGAGGATGGGAGACTGAGGGGAAGAGAGAAAAGGGAAGTGCTATGGTCTGAATGTTTACGTCTCTCCCAAATTCATGTGTTGAATTCTAACCCCCAAGTTATAGCATTAGGAGGTGGGGCCTTTGGGAGATGATTTGGTCATGAAGCCACTGTTCAAGGGTTAGTGCCCATACACAAAGAGACCCCAGAGAGCTAGCTTGCCCCTTCTACCATGTGAGGACAACAGCAAGAAGGTGCCATCTGTGAGAAAGTGGGCTGTCATCAGACATTGAATCTGTTTGCACCTTGATCTTGGACTTCCCAGCCTCCAGAACCATGAGAAATAAATTTCTATTTTTTATAAGCAACCCAGTTTATGGTATTTTGTTATAGCAGCCCAAGCAGAGCAACACAAGAAGAAATGAGGAGGAGGGGACACCTGAACTGAGTTTTAAAGTAAGATTCTAAATTAGCCACGGGGAGAAGGGGCAGAAGAGCAATCTCAGCAGAGGGGACTGTCTAAGATTTTTCCAGATTGAAAGACTAAAAAGTTGGTTCAGTTAATAGGAATTTAATATAAAGATACATAAGGAAATAAGAGACAGGAAGCCATCTCTATATCAGAATAGTCAGATCTCCTTTGGGATATTCAGGAATCAACACAATTCTTAGCATTCAGTTATTCTGGATCCTCCAAGAAGTAGGTCCATTGCCCCTGATTCTAGTGATCCATCACACTGGTGATTAGCATCTTTCTCTCTCTGTGTGTCTGTCTCTCTCATCCACTCTCTCTCCTCTGCTTTGCTATTCCCATGTTACCAGTAAAAGATGCTTTCTTTGTTTTTGGGTCTCATTCCCTCTAATTTCTGTTTATTCGTGGCATTTATTGCCACTGAGCTTCTGCCTACCATCTTTTCCTTGTATGTCTTGGCTTCTTCCCGTCCTACTGTCTGCTGATTCTGTTCATTGCATTTGAACTCACCAACAGAGGGAATCCACTGGTAAGGCCCATTCTGTATAGAGGGGCCCTGCTGAGCAGAGAGCTCTCATGCCAGGCTACCTCAAGGCTGCTGGTCAGTGGTGTCTGTGTCACTTGATTCTTCCTGGTTGAGTTATCAACACTCAGAGCAGCGGCATCACACAGTTTGAAACACACTAACCTGTATATAAGTGGTTTTGTTTTAGAAGCACCTTCTCCAGCACCCCAAGCAAAGGTACCAAGGTAGAAAAGAAGTTCTGCTTGGAACTGCAAGCTGCTTGGCCATGTTGAAAAGTAAAGCTGGAACAGGGCATGTCTAGGGATGAGACTGACCGCGGCCCTGGAGGGTTTTGTATTCAGGTTTAAGATGTAGCAGGCTTGAATTTCAGTCTATAAACTGAGATATACATTAGTACCATATTTCTGCATGTACTTTAAATCAATTTAAATCCAATGCAGAGGCACCCTTTAACACAGTGGCAGAAAATTCCATCTCAATTATTACAGGTGGTGGGAAGAGCTTATCCCTTGAGATTGTGCAAAGATCCCAGGGTTTTCTGCACAACCAATGCATCAAGGAAGCTCACTTGAACTCTGGTCATTAGTCCACACAGGAAACCACTAACACATCCAGTGTTTGCCCCTGTCACCATTGTATCTGTGCTGTGTAAAGGGCACAGGAGCCTTTGCCAAGTCTGCGACCATCTGTGGTCTGGTCAAGCCTTCCCCAGGACACTGAGCAGTTATTTGCCTCTGAAGCAGGCAGGCAGCCTTAGAGAAAGAGAGCAGGAGAAGAAGATAAACCTCTACTCTCTTTTTTGCTCAAGGCAGACCCAGACCCTTAACCACCCAGGGCTAATGGAGCCAAAAAAGTAGCTCAGCTCCCAAGTCCATGCTCACTTCCCTCTTGCATACAGGCAGGCTTGCTACACGCATGCTCTCTGCCCTGAAGCCCAGCTCAGAGGGTGCTACCTCCGTGTCCCTCACTGTCAGCCACACGTGGTTACAAAACAGAACTGAGGTTTTTATAGAATCTGTCTGTCCCTCTGTAGAATTCATTTATGAAACAGCCTGGCTAAACATAACGAATCACAAGATAACACATCTAAAAGGAGAACGCTGGGGGTTGAGTGCTGGCTATTCAGAAGGAAACGTAAGCAATGACAGGACAAAGAACATCACTCTCCGAGGAAGGTGCCATGGCTGAAATGAGAATCCATCTCTGACAGAGATGAGATGGGGAGAAACAGAGAGTGACTGGCCAGGGGTAAGCATGAGGAATCAATGAGGCAGGAGTGTCTTTCAGGACTGATTTGACAGAAAAGGAGACAGCAGTATTTCAACTGGAGTTTTAGAGCAAATAGAAAATCAGATCTCTGACTGAAACAGGAACAGAAGAAAAATTGTATTCAGAATACATTTTCTCCTTAAAGAAGAAAAAATACAGGGCCACAGAAAAAGGCTTTGAAAAAACAGGACAACAAAAAGTCACCATAGCCTTCTCCTCTTCCCCCCAAGGAAGGCCACGATTGCTGGAAGGGGATCTGATAACCTAAGATAAGACCATGCTCTCATACTTCACCTGCTATGGGATCTCCAGCCAAGTACTTCCAATTTCAGAGCCTCAGCACCCTACTCTATTGAATGGGGATAATAAGACCTGCCTCATAGGGTTGCTATAGTTATGAGAGTCATCTGCAAATTCTAAAAAAGGCTGCCACGTACTATTAATATTATTCCAACCCTGTGACATCCTAGAAAAGGCCACACTATGGAGAAAGTGAAAAGATCAGTACTTGCCAAGGGTTAGCAGGGAGAAAGGATGAAGAGGTGAAGAACAGAGGATTTTTAGAGAAGTGAAACTATTCTTAAATACAATGGTAGACACCTACCGTTGTACATTTATCAAAACCCATAGAATGTACAATGCCAATACTGGGCCCTAATGTAAACTATGGATTCTGGGTGATAATGATGTGTCAATGGAGGTTCACTGATTATAACAAATGTGGTAGGGGATACTGGTATTAGGGGAGGCTGTGCACACGTGGAGTAGGGAGTATAAGACGGTATATGGGAAATCTCTGTATTTCTAGCTCAATTTTGCTGTGAATCTAAACCAGCTCTAAAAAAAAGTTAACTTCACTAATTTTTTACAATTAAGCCTATTTTTTAAAAAATTACGTCAAAGTCAGTGTCATCAGACTCATTCACCTGTTAGTGTGTAATGCTCTCTATATGCATGCATTCTTGTCTGATAGTCCCAGGGCTATCCCCACTGGCCCCCATCCCGACACTACACAGCACCTAACAGGCTACAGACCATTTTCACATTCCTCCTCTCATACCTTACCCGAGGTCACACAGCCCTTAGCTGATTTAGGTGGAAGAAGAAGGCCTCAGTCAATCCCAGGTCTTATGAACTCAGGCCCCTGCTCCTTCTACCATGTTGTGTTTACAGATTTCTCAGAGATGGATTATATCTATACCCAGCCTGGTGCCCACCACCATGCCTCCCTCCCCAATGTCTTCCAGAGCTGCCAGGATGCGCTGGCCCTTCCTTTGTTAACATGTCACCCTTTCCTGCCTCCTAGGCCCTACAACTTGCCACAAAGACCATATACTCCTCCCTCCTATTTCCCCTGACCTATGCTCACAAATGTGTCCAAATGGGTCAGACTCCACCCCACTCATATCAACCCATGGGTTTCTGCCTTCAGCTCTTCAGAACCATCATCCTGTTATAAATTTCCCTATGGGAAAACTAATAGTAGCATCATTATTAAATATTTATTACATACTATGCACTTATACACATTTTCACATAGAATTCTCACTTAGCCTTTTGATGTTGCCTAGGTAATAACCAGTACCCCCAAACTGAGGCTCAGAAGATTGAATCTCCAGTTTGTAGTTAGAGGAGTCGAATTCAAACCAGGTCAGTCTGACGTCAGAGTCCACGTTACACTGACTCTGACACCCCATCCTCAGAACTCTCTTAAATGACACGTTGATCTTCTGACTCAACGTTCCTCCTAACCCTGATCAGTGAAAGTGACTTCTCCTCATGCCCATTCTTCATTCTGAGCCAATCTTCAATCACTTTCCCTCAACAGATGATGTGCAGGGCATCGGGCCACAGCTTCCCTCTGGTCTTCATCATGGCCCTTTCTCTATGGTGCCCTCTATCATCATACCCAAGGTTTCCAACATCCCTCCTTAAAATGCTTTTCATTCCTTAGCCTCTGAGTTTCTCTGCAAAGCTGGTGACCCCAATCTCTACTCAACCACAGGTAACTGCAGAGTAACAGGAATTCCACAGGTGTCTTCATGGATCCAAATAGCTGCAAAGCATCACACCATGTCTATAAACTGTCAGTGTCTCCATTCCCGGACTTTTACTCCACCTCTCTAGCCTCTTGTGATCTCCATTTCCTCATCTGAGTTAACTTCCCAGTCCATCACCCCCTCTCAGGGACCATTTGCCCACATCTCACTTTAATAATGCACTCATTGCCATCCTAGAACCTCATTTGCCACCCAAATGTGACCCTTCCACAGCTAAGCAATGCTATCTCTTTCCCAAGACTTTCTCCAGAAAATCTAAGTATCCTAAAATATGGAAATAGAATGATAAAATAACCCTGAGCTCCTTTCAATGTAAGATCAAACACAAACTATTAAGATCAAATACTAATCCTAGCAGGGCCCTCCCTCTCGCTAGAACTCTTTCATTCAGCTCTCTTGGCAGTGTCTGTGAATGGCACTGCCCATAGCAGCCACTCCTGTTTCCTTATCACTTAATTCCAATGTGCCACCTCACTTTCTATAGGTAATTTTACTTTCACTATGAAGCTTACACAATTTAATGCAAATTCCCTCAGCTTTCCTAGCTCTCATTAAAATATCTCCAGAACTTCTTTCACTGTCATATCTGAGAAGTGTCCTGCTTTTCTGCCAAGACTAATACTTCTAACTGCTCTTGATCCCATTCACTCTTATCTCCTCCAGCATCTCATTTTTATGCCCAGTCCCATCTCCTCTCCCCTCTATCTCCCACCTCCCCGTCTATCTCATATTTCTACCCCTATCTCCAACCTCTCCCTCTATCTCCCACCTCCTCCCATCTCCCATCTCTCCCCTCTATCTCCTATCTTTACCCCTATCTCCCACGTCCTCCTCTATTTCCCACCTCCCCCTCTATCTCCTATTTCTACCCCTATCTCCCACCTCTCCCTCTATCTCCCACCTTCCCCCATCTCCCATCTCTCCCCTCTATCTCCTATCTCTACCCCTATCTTCCACCTCCCCCTCTATCTCCTGTCTCTACCCCTATCTCCCACCTCCCCATCTATTTCCCACCTATCCCTCTATCTCCCACCTCCCCCTCTATCTCGTATCTCTCCCTCTATCTCCCACTCTCCCCACCATCTCCCATCTCTCCCCTCTACATCCCTTCTCCCCTTCTAATTCCCATCTCTCCTATCTCCCATCTGTTTCCTCTATCTCCGATCTATCCTGCTGTCTTTCCTTCCTCTGGCTCCTTGCTCTAAGTTCATAAACAATGTGATCTCCCCATACTAAATCAGTGATTCTGGCAGGGCCATCTGTGTATTCAGGAGTCATTACTGAACACTATGAATCAGGCTCTCTGTTTGGTGCTGAAGAGACAAAGAGAAATGGGGTAATTTCCACTCCCAAGAAGTTCACACTCCAGGGGAGAAACAGATGCATGAAGAGTGGGATCAATTCTAGGTGAGTAGTAAGTACAGGATTATTAGGACAACAGTTTAAAGAGGTCTCCTTGAGACAGGGAGTATGCTCTCTATCTGTATGAAAGGACTGGAAGACTGGAAACTACATTTTCAAGATTCACTTGCCATTAAGGTTCTGAGGTTGTATCCTAATCAAGCTCCTCATCTCCTCATTCCCAGATTATGGCAACATTCTCTTGGATAGTCTCATAGCTTCAAATCATCTTCCAATCCAAACTTCACACTGCTTCAAGGGTAAACATCACTTCATAACAGACACTTCAATGGTGAATATTACCCACTACCTCCATGATACAAAAATAGCTCACCTGAACTGCACAGCAATGGAACAAGCTTTACAAAGTAGACAACTCTCGCCATTACTATTGATACTACTTATTTCGTATTTACTCTCTTACCTCTCATTACTTGCTATATTTCCGTTTGTATATGACTCATTTTCTTTACTAAGTTGTAATTTCCATGAGGGAAACCCTGCCGATGCAGGAGTTCTGAATCTTTTTCCATTGAGTCATGCCATGTTTCAATTTCTTCGTAGGCAAGAAAAATAAAAGGCAAGAGATAAATCAAGATAAATATTTGCAGCATATATGACAAAAACAGTTCTTATGTATATTATATATAAAGTGTTCTTAGAAATCTCAAAGAAAATAAATGAACATGCCAATTAAAAAATGGTCAATGAACATGAATAGGCATTTGCAAAAGAAATGCAAGTAACTGATACACATAATTTCTAAAATTATGTAAACTTACTAGTAACCAAATAAATGTAAATTAAACATTAAACATATTTTTAAAATATTATATATTTTTCTAACAATAGCTTCTTTTTATTGAGTGTTTGCAACAAGCCAGATTCCTTCTAAGAACTTGACATGAATTCATTCATTAATCTTCCCAATAAGCCTGTGAGGAAGTTACTATTACTGTTCTCTAAATTTTACGGGGAATGAGGTACAGAGAGGTTAAGTGACCTACCAGGGTCGCACAACTAGGCAGTGCTGAAGACTCAGTTTTAATTCAGATACTTGGACTCCAAAACCATGTTCTTGGCCATTCACTCTTCTAGCTCTTCTAGATGACTAAATATTCATTGGATGTTTTCTATGTGCCAGGTACAGAGCTAAATGTTGTGAATAAATTATCTTATTTGACCCTTACAATAATCCTAGAAAGGATTTATTTTTTCTTCACATAGCAGACTAAGAAATGCTAAGAGAAACTAAGAAATTTGGACAAATTAACAACTATTATAGTAAATAATAGAAATGGGTTTGTTTGTACAAAAGTCTATACAAGATGTGGGCAAGGGTTTGGGGAGATGGGTACTTTCATAAACTGTTGATGGAAAAGGTAAACAGTATAACCATTTTGAGAGGTAATGTGGCAAATATCACTGGCTTTTTTAGTTTACCATTGTCTCATGTAGTTTTTTAAGCATATTGTTTCCTTTAGAAATCACCACGTATGATGATTGTCTGATAAAGATGCCTAATTAATATTATTTATATTTGAGACTGGAGAAATAGCTAATAGTATATTCTTATAAAGAAATACAATACATTCATTAAAATGATGCTGTAGTAGAATATCTTTATGATATAAAAAAAGTTAATGATATGTTGCAAAGGGAGAAAGGTTAGATCATCAAACAGCAAGTACCATATGATTGCATTTTTATTAAGAAAACACATAATATAAATAGAGTTGACTAGATAGCTAGATAGGTAGATGTCTAGCTAGTTAGATATTTAGATACAGAGAGCTACCTAGATAGATAGCTACAGGCTAAATGTTTTTTAATAGTAAGAAAATATTTAAACTGGCTGTCTCCATATAGTAGAATTGCAATGATTTTTTTTCTTCTTTGTATTTTTCTGTATATTTTCAATTTTCTGTTTTTCCAGTTGTGACAAAGGGAAAAATGACAATTTCCATATGTGGTTCCACAGAATAAACTAAAGAAGGTGTCTTGAAGCTTATAAAAGTAATATTTCCACCTAAAGTTCACAGACAATGTCAGTGATTGTTGTGCTAAGACAGACAAAAGCCAAGAATAATTGTTAATATTTCCCATAAGCCAGTCACATAAAAGATCAGTCCTTCCTTACAAACCCAGTTAGAAAATTCTCTAGACTCTGGATCCCTTCTCACCAGGGAAGTCTAGACAATTCTCTCTCACCCTAAAATACTGGGTTTTCATTTGATGGGGTTCCCCATAGACCCCTTTCCCCAGTCCTAATGGACCTTCTTGTCAGATGAGCCAGTTGCCTTAGTTAGAAATCTTGATTTGCAGGTTACAGAAACCAAATGGAGCAGTATATATCAAAATGAGTTTATTAAGAAGATAAAGGGTCATCTCACAGAACTCAAGTACAGGATTAGAATAGCCATGGGCAGCTTCTGCCTGAACACCAGCTTCATTCCCCTGTGTCTCCATAAATTGGCTCTCTCTGTTCCTCTACTCCATGGTAGAAGATAGCCCGCACACCTCCTGAGTCCACAGCCTAAGGATCAGTTCCACAGACTCGCTGCAAAAAAGCCAATTGGCTCAATTTTGCTCAGGCATTCATCTTTGTCACTGCTACGGCCAGCACATGGCTTCCAAGGTACACCTGTGGAGTCAGCTTGTGACCCTGTGGAAGGAGGATGGTGGTTCCTAGAAACAAGGGGTTGCTGCAAGCAGCAGGCTCTTTGAGAGGTGTCATCTGCCAGCCCTGCCAGCCCTCTTGGCTGCATTGACCTTTCAGTTGCAGTTAGGATCACACAGGTAGCATCCTGCAGCTCTCTCATTATTTCCAGTCAGTGAATCCTGTCAGCAAACTCAACTATAAGGGCAGGGACCAACCTTACCTCCGGCCTCTTTGGTATCTTCCTCTGCACAGCACATTGGAGGCTTTGGATACTTATCTGATTGCCGCCAGGATGTGTCACCCTTCAGCATGAGCTAATCACATGGCATAAACACCCCCAAACTAACAATTCTGCTCCAGAATCAGAACCAAGGATGAGGGGTGGGTTTGGAAATCTGTGTGGTTTAAAATAGATATTTACATGGATATCAATTAATTCTCTCTCTCTCTCTCTCTCTCTCTCGCTCTGTGTGTGTGTGTGTGTGTGTGTGTGTGTCTGTGTATATCTGTGTGTGTACATTTTCTCCTCTATGGCCACAGTGAAGAGAAGATAAACTAGAAACTGCATCCATTTTCACAGTACACTGTTTTCCATGCTGGAAATCTATAAAAGATATTTTGGTCTGTGAAATAAAGTAGCAATGTTCACATAAGAATGCAAACAGAATAGAATTTAGATCCCATCTCCTCAGGCCTACCTGATATCAAGCTCAGACACATTAAGACAATGCCATTTGGGATCTTGTTTTAATTGGATTTTCTAATCTTCCATATATTCTAATGAGCTTGGGGGAAGGAAATCTTCAGTGTTTAGGATACAACCTCTATCAAGAGGATCCAAGAGATTTCTCTTTGGGCTGCCCTGTGTTGGGGAGTGAAGGTGAAGAGGGACTTAATGTGAATCTCAACCACCTATGTGATCTCCCAGCCTTCAGCCTTCAAGAGGTGCCTGTTCACACCTTTTATTTCTGTCTCTAAGGAGCCATAAGTTACAAGAGAGTGGCCCAAAAGTCTTCAGCAAAACGTCTTTCTCAGAGAGCTTACTGTAGTTTAATATGTTGCATTTGATAATGGTTTAACAAGGATCTTTAAATCCAGTCACAGCCAGAGGTCAGTGGGCTACAGATCAGAAGGGGAGAGGGCTCTGTTGACCATAGCCACCCAACAAAGGGCAAAACGCCTGGCCCCTCAGCCCAGACCAGATGGACAGAGATGCCCAGTTCATTAGCAATACCATCTAGAAAAACAGAAGTGGACACAACAATGAACACCTCTGACTATCTGTTAGTGCTGGGGCTGCCATAAGAGCACCACAGACTGAGTAGTTGTTTTGTTTTGTTTTGTTTTGTGTTTTGTTTTGTTTTGTTTTTGAGATGGAGTTTTGATCTTGTTGCTCAGGCTGGAGTGCAATGGCGCATTCTCGGCTCACTGCAACCTCCATCTCCCAGGTTCAAGCGATTCTCCTGCCTTAGCCTCTCGAGTAGCTGGGATTACAGGCACGCGCAACCATGTCCAGCTAATTTTGTATTTTTAGTAGAGATGGGGTTTCTCCATGTTGATCAGGCTGGTCTTGCTCTCCCAACGTGAGGTGATCCGCCTGCCTCAGCCTCCCAAAGTGCTGGGAATACAGGCATGAGCCACCGCTCCTGGCCCAGACTGAGTAGTTTAAACAACAGAAATTTGTCTTCTCACGGTTCTGGAGGCTGAGACCAAGGTCAAGTTGTTGGCAGGGTGGATTTCTCTGGAAGCCTCTCTCCTTGGCTTGTAGATGGCCACTTTCTTGTTGCGTCCTCACATAGTCTTTCCTCTGTACATGTCCATGTCCAAATTTCTTCTTCTTATAAGGACACCAGGGTAAGGTTGGGGCCTGCCCTTATAGTTGAATTTGCTGACAGGACTCATTAGGACCTGCCCTGTGAGCTCATTTCATGTAATTACCTATTTACAAACTGTATCTCCAAATACTGTCACATTCTGAGAATCTGGAGGTTAGGACTTCAACATATAAGTTTGTTCGAACAAACAATTCAGTCCATGAAACCATTCAGAGGAACAAGCTGGGAGTATGCATACATCCTCCAAACCTCTCTGACCCTGCTGGGAAACCAGACCAGCACTGTTGTTACATGTGCAAGCTCGAGACAGATGGCCTAGACACCAATACTACATGTCCAGACACAAGCTGTGAGACCTTAGGCAAGTGAGTTGTCCTCTCCGGGCCATGGTTTCTCAGATGCAAAATGAGGATGATTATAATAGTGCCTAAGTCCTATGACATAGGATTGCAGTGACAAGGAAATTGGTTCCACACATAAAGGGCTTAGAACAGCACCTGACACAAAGAAAATGCTTAATAAATATTGGTGACTTTTATTATCAGTTGAGCCACCAGGCACCCTAGCTAATTACTAGCCCAGCCAGGGTAGAGATCTGCTGGATCTACATCCACAGCACTGTTTTAGGTGCCCCCAGTGAACACTAACTGAGGCTACCCATGACCCGTAGTCAGTCTAGCCAAAACCTATTAGCCACAAATTTGGGAGCAAATATCCATCCACCTTCCAGAAGCCCCAGCCAGCGTATTCTTTCAACTTAAGTCCTCGAGCACTTAAGGCTTCTGCTTATAGTGAATGAATATGCATCCACTTGTAAGTCCCTTTGTATAGGTTGAACAGATAGCTGATGAATTTCTCCCTTTGTTTTTTGTTTTTTGTTTGATTTTGTTTTGTTTTGTTTTGTTTTGTTTTAATTTTCACTGAAGACTACAGAGAAAGGCTTAAACTAATCCTGGGAAGATAGAAGTCTTCTTTTCCTAGTCTATTTAGTCTTGCCTATAGCTAATCAGCTTGTTTGTCAAAGCAGGCCCCAGATCTGCTACAAAAACATGACAAGGAGGAATGTATAAACCCTACAGACATTTTCACTTTGACGTACTGGGTGTTTGTCATCTGAGGGTGCCATGTGTTCAGCTTTACAGGCACTACACCAGTGTCAATGGAATCCCTCACTTCCACCTCAGAAGTGGAGTGCCCTCACTAACATCAACAGACCTTTTAAAAGTTTATTTTTATTTATTTATTTAGGGGGTACAAGTGCAGGTTTCTTACATGCACATATTGCATCACGGTGAAGTCTGAGCTTTGAGTGTACCTGTCACCTGAATAGTGAACATTATACCCAATAGATAACTTTTCAACCTTCCTCCCTCTCCAATCCTCCCACCTTTTGTAGTTTCCAATGTCTATTATTCTACTCTGTATATCCATGGGTACCCATTGTTTAGCTCCCACTTTTAAGTGTGAATATGTGGCATTTGACTTCCTGGTTTTGAGTTATTTCACTGAGGATAACGGCCTCCAGTTCTATCCCTGTTGCTGCAAAGGAAATTTTGTTCTTTTTTATGGCTGAGTAGTATTCCATGATGTGTATGTGATATATCAGAATCTTCTTGATAAATCATATTCAACCATCAGTATAATATTTTCTCTTACTGAATTTTTACATCTCCTTGCTTCAAGATCTAAGTAAGGATGTTTCATTAGTCATTGCCTGAGTTTCTGGACTGTCTTCCAATGCCCAGATTGAGAGAGAGAGAGAGAGAGACAGAGAGAGAGAAAGAGAGAGAGAGAGAGAGAGAGTGCGCGCGTGTGTGTGTGTGTGTGTGTGTGTGTGTGTGTGTGTGTAAAATAGTCTGCAGATATTTTTTCCCATTCTTTAGGCCAGGGGTCCTTAACCCCTGGGGCATGGACCAGTACTGGTCTGTAGCCTGATAGGAACCAGGCTGCACAGCAGAAGGTGAGCAGTGGGTGGGCGAGTGAAGAAGCTTCATCTGTATTTACAGCTGCTGTCCATTGCTTGCATTACCACCTGAGCTCTGCCTACTGTCACATCAGCAGTAACATTATATTATCATAGGAGTGCGAGCCCTACTGTCAACTGTGCATGTGAGGGGTCTAGGTTGTGGGTTCCTTATGTGATTCTAATGCCTGATGATCTGAGGTAGAGCCAGGCAGGGATGCTAGGACTGAGGAGTGGCTGCAAGTACAGATTTAACATTAGCGGAGAGGTTTGACTGCACAGAGACCATAATAAATCAGTTGCTTGCAGACTCATATCAAAACCCTGTCAGTGAGCAGCAAGTGACAATTAAGCTGCATCTCCCTATCGTTTAAAATCCAAACAAATGGGAGTGATAAACCCAAAATTCAGGCCGGGCACGGTGGCTCACGCCTGTAATCCCAGCACTTTGGGAGGCCAAGGCGGGCAGATCACCTGAGGTCGGGAGTTGGAGGCTAGCCTGACCAACATGGAGAAACCCTGTCTCTACTAAAAATACAAAAAAATCAGCCGGGTGTGGTGGTGCATGCCTGTAATCCCAGCTACTCGGGAGACTGAGGCAGGAGAATCACTTGAACCCACGAGGCGGAGGTTGTGGTAAGCCGAGATCGCGCCATTGCACTCCAGCCTGGGCAACAAGAGTGAAACTCCATCTCAAAAAAAACCCAAACTTCAAAAGAATAGTTACTTCAAGGTAGAGATGGAGGCTTGGGGTGAAGAAAAAGCACATATGTGTGTGTGTGTGTGTATATATATATATATATACACACACACACACATATACACATACACACACATACACATATATACACACATATATACATATGTATACATATATACACATATATACATATGTATACATATATACACATATATACACATATATACATATGTATACATATATACACATATATATACACACATATACACACACACACACACACACACATATATATATATATATATATATATATATATATATATATATTTTTTTTTTTTTTTTTTTTTTTTGAGACAGAGTCTCACTCTGTCGCCCAGGCTAGAGTGCAGTGGCGCAATCTCGGCTCACTGCAAGCTCCGCCTCCCGGGTTCACATCATTCACCTGCCTCAGCCTCCTGAGTAGCTGGGACGACAGGCGCCCGCCACCACGCCTGGCTAATTTCTTGTTTTTGTATTTTTAGTAGGGACGGGGTTTCACCGTGTTAGCCAGAATGGTCTCAATCTCCTGACCTCATGATCCGCCCGCCTCAGCCTCCCAAGATGAAACTATATTTTTAATGTTCTAGTTTTATAAGCTGAGTGTTGGGTTTACGGTGTTTATTACTATGCTTTATAGTAAATGTGTTGCATATTTTATATATCAAATATTACAAAATATAAAATAATTATAATTTTTAAGACAGGATTTTGATGGTTTTTAGTGACAACTTAATTTCAGCCATTTCATTTTTTAACTTTTTACAAAATTTTACTTTTTGCTGTATTTCACAAGTATCTCAACAATCACTTTTATTCTTTCAAATGGGGAAAAAAGAATGCTTTATTGAAGCATAACGGTAATGTGCTCAATCCCTTTACCCAGGTATAAGAAAATGGATGTCAGTTTCTATGTCAGATCCATTTGACGTCTTCAAAAGATTGTTTTTGCATTCCAGCCCAGGTGGTCATGGTGGCCCTAAAGATAGCAACACCTTGTACCTAAAAGCCCAAATCCTAACAGGGCAATATTGTTGCAAGGTAATACTTTTCTCCAAGAAAGCAATGAAAGGCAGCATGGGTGAGCTAAGGAGCAACACTGCTATTCTCCTCAACTCAGTGGCATCTACTTGGTACCTACTGTGTGCCCAGCATTGTCATGGGCACTGAGGATGTAGTGATCACTAAAACAAAAACACACAGCCACTGATGGCAAGGGACTCACCTTCTTTTTTCTGTAAGTTTCACTTTTTCAAATTTCCAACTTTCATTTTAAGTTCAGGGGTACATGTACAGGATGTGCAGGTTTGTTAGATAGGTAAATGTGTGTCATGGGCGTTTGCTGCACAGATCATCCCACCACCTATGCATTAAGCCCAGCATCCATTAGCTATTCTTCCTGATGCTCTCCCTCCTCCCACCCCCCACTCTCCAATAGGCCCCAGTATGTGTTGTTCTCTTGTGTCCATGTGTTCTCATCATTCAGATCCTATTTATAAGTGAGAATATATGGTATTTGGTTTTCTGTTCCTGCATTAGTTTGCTGAGGATAATGGCTTCCAGCTCCATTCACATCCCTGCAAAAGACATGATCTCATTTCTTTCTATGGCTGCACAGTACTACATGGGGTATACGTACCACATTTTCTTTATCCAGTCTATCATTGATGGGCATTTAGGTTGATTTGACGTCTTTACTATTGTGAATAGTGCTGCATGATCTGTGCGGCAAACCCCCATGACACACATTTACCTATGTAACAAACCTGCACATCCTGTACGTGTACCCCTGAACTTAAAATAAAAGTTGGAAATTTGAAAAAGTGAAACTTACAGAAAAAAGAAGGTGAGTCCCTTGCCATCAGTGGCTGTGTGTTTTTGTTTTAGTGATCCCTACATCCTCATACATCCTGCATACATGTACATGTATCTTTATAATAGAATGATTTCTATTCCTTTGGGTCTATACCCAGTAATGGGATTGCTGAGTCAAATAGTATTTCTGCCTCTAGGTCTTTAAGGAATCACCACACTGTCTTCCACAACGGTTGCAGTAATTTACACACCAGTGTAAAAGTGTTCCTTTTTCTCCACAACCTCACCAGCATCTGGTGCTTTTTTACTTTTTAATAATAGCCATTCTGACTGGCGTGAGATGCCATCTCATTGTGGTTTTGATTTGCATGTCTCTAACAACTATCAGTGATGTTGAGGCTTTTTTCATATGTTTCTTGGCCACATGTATGTCTTTTTTTTTAGAAGTGCCTGTTCATGTCCTTTGTCTACTTTTTATTTTTTGAAACAGAGTTTTGCTCTTGTTGCCCAAGCCAGAGTGCAATGGTGCAATCTTGGCTCACTGCAACCTCTGCCTCCCGGGTTCAAGAGATTCTCCTGCCTCAGCCTCCCAAGTACCTGGGATTACAGGCATGCACCACCACGCCCGGCTAATTTTTTGCATGTTTAGTAGAAACAGGGTTTCATCGTGTTAGCCAGGCTGGTCTTGAACTCCTGACCTCAGATGATCCACCTGCCCGGCCTTCCAAAGTGCTGGGATTGTAGGCGTGAGCCACTGCACCTGGCCCCCTTTGCCCACTTTTTAAGGGGGTTGTTTTTTTCTTGTAAATTTGTTTAAGTTTATTGTAGATGCTGGATATTAAACATTTGTCAGATGGATAGATTGCAAAAATTTTCTCCTATTCCGTGGGTTATCTGTTCACTCTGATGATAGTTTCTTTTGCTGTGCAGAAGCTTTATTTAATTACATCCCATTTGTCAATTTTTGCTTTTGTTGCAATTGCCTTTGGCATCTTTGTCATGAAATCTTTGCCTGTGCCTACGTTCTTTATGGTATTGCCTAGATTTTCTTCTAGGGTTTTTATAGTCTTGGATTTTACATTTAAGTCTTTAATCCAACTTGAGTTGATTTTTGTATATGGTGTAAGGAAGGGGTCCAGTTTCAATTTTCTGCATATGGCTCCCCGGTTCTCCCAGCACCATTTGTTAAGTAGGGAATCCTTTCTTTGTTGCTTGTTTTTGTCAGATTTGTCAAAGATCAAATGGTTGTAGGTGTGTTGTCATATTTTAGAGTTCTCTATTCTCTTCCATTGGACTTCCCTTCTTTTTAAAAAATATGGAATGTTTCACAAATTTGTGTGGCATCCTTGCACAGAGGCCATGGTAATCTTCTCTGCAGCATTCCAATTTTAGTGTATGTGCTAACAAAGCAAGCAAAGAACTCACGGTCTTATGTGGACAGGCCAAGTAAACTGAAGTGCAACAATGTTAAAGAAACATGAGTAGCCCAGGTATGGGAAAAGTTTACTATAAGTTGTGGGGAGGGGGGTTGATGGTGAATTAGAAAAAGCTTCTAAAGGTGAAGGAAAAAAACCAATCCAGAGAGAAGAGACAACATAGGTGAAGACACAGGATCTGAATATAGTATTACTAAATGGTATATGAAGTAGGTGCATTTAATTTTTAAACAGCCCCTAAATCCCATTTAAATGACATTTATGTCAGCGTGGAAACAAGGGTGCCATTGGCACACCAGGAATTTTGAGAAATTTATGAATGTACTCACCAACACTTAAATATGGGCTTTGGATTGCTAGAACTGGGGATGCACAGGTTATATTTCAGATTATTTAAAATTTGCTCTACAAGACTTAACATCTAGTTATATTTGACTCAAATCAATATTTAAAATTATTTTACATCTCTTGAGCTTTCTGCAAATTAAAGTAAAGGAGGAAAAATCTGGCTCAGAATTATTGGAGAATAAAAACAAGTTGGAAATTGTTTAAATAAAGGAATACAAAAACCCAGATCATTAGGACAGTCTCTGCAATCAAATCATCAACTCCCTCCATTGAAAGAGGTGGCTTTGCAAGATCTTTGCTGTGGCCTTCCTTGCCCAAGCCACCTCCATAGGCATAACCATTCTCAATTTCTATGAATCCTTTCAAAGAACTAGAGAGCTGTTTCTGTCAGATAGAGGCACATAGTATTATTACTGCAACAACCCAATCAGAAGAAGGCTTTATAAATTACTCACTAGGCTGTGGGTGGGTTAGGAACTGATAGCCTGAGTTCCTAGACTTTCCTAACAGAAAATGGTCAACTGCAATTACTTGATTCTCCTTTCAAATGGTTGAGTCTCCTCTGGTTTCTTTTGAGTCTCTCCCATTTCCATTCTGGGTAGCAATCCCTGCTGGCAGAGATGGAAATTAGGTGTGATTTAAGTCTTGCATAATTTGTACAATGCTATAAAATGCCAGTGCAAAATCAAGAGAGTTTGGTCAAGAGGAAAATTTATTTTGGAAAAGAAGAAGAGAGGGGGAGCAGGTGGCACTAGGCCATCTGCTTCAGAAGGAATAATTATTAGGATTCTTGTTTTGCTGAGAACATTTTTAGAAAAGGCATTTGCAAGGGTTGCTGAAAAGTAGCATCAATTCTGAGAAGGGAATAGGAAGAGACACAAAAGCCAAGCAGGTCAAGCTCTCCAGACGAATCCAGGGCCAACTAAATCAACCTTGCAAATGAGAACTTCCCAGAAAGATCCAGTAGGAAGGATATCCTACAAGTAAAAAGTCATCTTCAAAGTAGAAAGGATGATTTCAGCTCTGATATTGTCTTTTTATCCATTGATACTATCCAATGCCTTACATCTCCAGGAAGTAGAGTAGCATGAAAAGAATTGTGGACCACAATGTTTTAAGGATGTCAAGATTTTCTTCCTTCTCAGTCTCTAACCCCTGATCATGTGGCCATTTCTTCATGCCTCTACCCCTGTCAAGACAAAGGGCTTGGACATATAACTCCTCAGGTGTAAATACCCATGGAGAAAGAGACAAACTCTTACAGGTGTCAAGGAAAGAAAAGGGAAGGGAGAAAGAGAGGGAGGGAGGACAGAAGGGTGAAAGAAAGTGAAAGGGACGGAAGCAGGTGAACAGAAAAAAGTGCAAAGAAGAGTATACTGCTGGGCTCTAACTTTTAGAAGGTATTGATCTGTGAACAAGTACCATGAATTTGGGTTGCTAAAGATGAGAGGTGGTTTCTATAAAATTACCAATTCAAAGGAATTTGTGCTCTGTGATTTTTAATAAATATTGCACACATAATTTAATGCTTTAGTTTTAACAGTTCCTGTAATGTGAACTAAATTAGTCCATTTATTGCAATATTTGCCAGCATCTATTATAATCACTATAATTACCTTCATCTGTCTATTAAAAGACAATTTCTATTTCATGTCATTATCCTTACACTGAAATAGCACAATACAAATTAGAAATTATATGCAGACAAATCATAATTTCCTCCCAGAATTTAAGTTTCTTATGTGAAAACTTCAGTGATAGATTTCAAGTTTCAAACGAATTTAAACTTAACTCATAGTTGGGTATAAAATGAAGTTTAATGGATAATATTGAGTAGAGTAAAACCTCATGAATTCATACTTTATTAATGTGGAATTTGGGGTTTTATAAATATATCTTTGTTATATTCATAAAACATAGTTTTCTAATAACTTATTATTAGTAATTATCTTGTACCAAGAAAAAGCTTCTTAATGCTGTCTCCAAGAGTCTTGAGTGTTTTGAAAGCAAGGACTTAAAATTTTCTTATATGCAGGCCGGGCGTGGTGGCTCACGCTTGTAATCCCAGCACTTCGGGAGGCCGAGGCGGGTGGATCACGAGGTCAGGAGATCGAGACCATCCTGGCTAACATGGTGAAACCCCATCTCTACTAAAAATATAAAAAATTAGCCAGGCGTGGTGGCGGGCACTTGTAGTCCCAGCTACTCGGGAGGCTGATGCAGGAGAATGGTGTGAAGCCGGGAGGCAGAGCTTGCAGTGAGCTGAGATTGCGCCACTGCACTCCAGCCTGGGTGAAAGAGCGAGACTCGGTCTCAAAAAAAAAAAAAAAATTGCTTATATGCATTGTAAGTTATACTGCTACAAGAGCATTCACTGCTTACTCTCTTTTGGAACTGAAAATAGGATATTAGATCTATCCTATCTATTACACCTGAAAAAATATGCTATACTAAAGACAATGTATTCTCCCCTTCCCCTACTTGAAAATACTCTTATGAAAAGGTTACAGAGACGGGTTAATTGAAAGAAAAAATATAATCATATCATATATGGTCCTTGTTCTTTGTATGTGTAGATCCCCCAAAAGGAAGACCACAGAGAAGAGGAGTGAGTGAGAAGGTTCCAAGAACCAACTCTCCCTCCAAACTCACCAGCCAAGTACCTAAACCCATATCAGCATAGAATAAAAAAGATTCAGTTCATCTTCTCACAAGAAACTTAGCTCTGCTTCTGAAGGAAGGCCATCTACAAGAAACCGCCACCTAAGATCTTGACTCATTGTTTCCTTGAAGCTATTTAAGTAAATGTGGAGACAAATGCCTGTGTTCCCATTTGATTCATTCCTGGTCCTTTCCTCCAACAGAAATACTCAAGGGACTTGAGCTCAGGGGTCAGTTTTCCAGAAGGAACAATACCTCTTTATGCCTGCCCCAGGCAAGCCTACCTTGAGATAGAAAGAGAGGAGCTACCCTGATTATGGTGAGACTACACTCAGTAGTTGAACAAGGTGATCCCTGAGGCCCTACCAAAAACAATCAATCTTTTAGTTCTAGTTCAGTCTGTGCCTGATTTAATTGATATTTATATATGTAAGTAATGATATTTTACTAAATGGAAAACACAAACAGAAGTGATGCTTGTGAACTCAGTGCTGCCCTGGTATAAAAGAAAACACAACCAAACTCAGCTGACACCTGTTCACAGAGGCAGCATTTAAATTAGCCCAAGGCAGAGGGGAATCACCAATCACAGTAGTCCAAACTTGAGTTCCTGCAAGCCTTGCCACTGAGAGCTACAGTGCTCTGGGGCTCAAAATAAATTTTAAAGGCAGTCTAGGCCACAAGGATTGCAACCCCTAGGCAAGTCCTTCTGCTGAATTGGACCCAGAGACAATGGACAGGTGGGGCATGTGACCTACTGAGACACCAGCCAAGGTGGCTGAGTGCTGGCCTCACCCCTCCCCTAGCCCCAGGCTATGCAGCTCACAGCTCCAAAGAGACCCCATTCCTTCATTTGAGAAGAGGAGAGGGAAGAATGGGGAGGGCTTTGTCTTGCACCTTGGATACCAGCTGAGCCACAGCAAGATAGGGTACCAATCAGAGTCACGAGGCCCCCTTACTAGGCCCTAGCTCCCAGATGACTTTTCTAGACACACCCTGGGCCACAAGGGAACCTGCTGCCTTGAAGGGAAGGACCCAATTCTGGCAGAATTTATCGTCTACTAACTGAAGAGCCCTTGGGCCCTGAATAATCAGCAGTGATACCCAGGTACCATGTCAAGGGCCTTGGGTGAGACTCTGAAACTTGCTGGCTTCAAGTGAGACTCAGAATGTTCCCAGCTGTGGTGGCTACAAGAGTAAGATGCCCTCCTCTTGAGAAAAGTGGAAGGAAAAGCAAAAGGGACTTTGTCTTTCACCTTAGGTACCAGCTCAGCCACTGGGGGATAGAGCACCAAGTGGCCTCTTAGGGTCCCCAGTTCCAGGGTTTGGCTCTTGGTCAGTATTTCTGGACTTGCCCTGGGCCAGAGGGGAGCCCACTGTCCTGAACAGTGAGTCCCAGGCCAGGCAACATCCACCACAAGCTGACTGAAGAGCCCATGTAAGGGAACATCAGTGGTAGTTTGGCAGTACTTTCTATGAGCCTTTGTTGGCCATGGCCACAGGATGAGGCTCCTCTGCCTTTGAAAAAAGATAGAAAGAGTGGGAAGGGATGCATCTTGTAGTTTGAGTGCCAGCTCAGCTGATATGCAATAGAACATCAGGTAGAGTTCCAAGGTTTTTGACTCTAGTCTCTGGCTCTCAGATGACACCTCTGGACATGCAAAGGGCCTGGGGAAACTTGACACCCTGAAGGGAAGGACATAGGCCTGGCAGGCTCTGCCACCTGCTGATAGTAGAGCCCCAGGGTCTTGAGCAAACATAGGCCATAGCTAAGGAGTGGTTACAGCAGACCTTGGATGAGACCCAATTCTGTGCTGGCTTCAGGTCTGACTCAACACAGTCCTAAGAGTGGTAGCCCCAGGTGTGCTTTTGTCACATTATCCCCAGCTCCAGGGGGCTCAGAAGAGACGAAAAAGACTCCACTCATTTGGGAGAAAGTATGGGAAGAAAACAAGGATCTCTACCTGGCAATCCAGAGAATTCTTGCAGATCTTGTTCAAGACCATCAAGGCAGTACCTCTATGAGTCTACAAGAACCACAGCATTACTGGGCTTGGGGTACCCCCCTAAAGCAAATACAGCTTAAATCACAACATGCAAGTCCTTTTGAATATCTAGAAAGCCTTCTCAAGAAGGATAAGTACAAACAACCCCAGACAATGAAGACTACCATAAATACCTAATTCTTCAATGTCCAGACACTATAAAGAACATCTACCAGCATCAAAACCATCCAGAAAAACATGACCTCACCAAATTAACTAAATAAGGCACAAGGGATCAATCCTGGAGAAACAGAGATATGTGATCTTTCAGGCAGATAATTCAAAATAGTTGTGTCAAGGAAACTTGAAGACATTAAGGATATCACAGACAAGGAATTCAGAATTCTATCAGATAAATTTAACAAAGAAATTCAAATAATTTAAAGAATCAAGAAGAAATTCTGGAGCTGAAAAATGCAATTGGCATTCTGAAGAATACATCAGAGTCTTTTAATAGTAGAACTGATCACGCAAAAGAGAGAACTGGTGAGCCTCAAGACAGGCTATTTAAAAATACACAGTCAGAGGAGACAAAAAAAAAAAGAATAAAAAATTATGAAGCACACCTAAACGATCTAAAAATAGTTTCAAAAGGGCAAATCTAAGAGTTATTGGCCTTAAAGAGGAGATGGAGAAAGAGATAGGGGTAGAAAGTTTATTCAAAGTGACAGTAACAGAGAATTTCCCAAACCTAGAAAAAATATCAATATCCAAGTACAAGAAGGTTATAGAACACCAAGCAGATTTAACCCAGAGAGGACTACCTCAAGGCAGTTAATAATCAAACTTCCAAAGAACAAGGATAAAGAAAGGATTCTAAAAGCAGCAACAGAAAAGAAACAAATAACATACAATGGAGTTCCAATATGTCTGGCAGTAGACTTTTCAGTGGAAACCTTACAAGCCAGGAGAGAGTGGCATGACATATTTAAAGTGCTGCAGAAAAAAATATTCCACTCTGGAATGGTATATCTGGAAAAAGTATCCTTCAAACATGAAGGAGAAATAAAGACTTTGCCAGACAAACTAAAGCTGAGGGATTTCATCAGCACCAGACCTGTCCTACAAGAAATGGTAAGGGAGTACTTAATCAGAAAGAAAAGGATGTTTACGAGCAATATGAAATCATCTGACAGTACAAAATTCACTGGTAATATTAAGTTCACCAAAAAAAATACACAGAATATTATAACACTGTAACACTAATGTGTAACCTACTCTCATCTTAAGTGGAAAGACTAAATGATGAACCAATCAAACATAATAACTACAACAACTTTTTAAGACATAGACAGTACAACAAAATATAAATAGAAACAACAAAAAGTTAAAAAGCAGGGGGACAGAGTTAAGGCATAGAGGCTTTATTAGTTTTCTTTTTGCTTGTTTGTTTGCTTATGCAAACAGTGCTAAGTTGTTATCAGCTTAAATATTGGGTTATAAGATAATATTTACAAGCCTCTTGGTAACCTCAAATCAACAAACATACAAAAAATACACAAAAAATTTAAACTGAGAAACAAAATCATATCACAAAGAAAATCTCCTTTGCTCAAAGGAAGACAGGAAAGAAAGAAAGAGAGAGAGAGAGAAGGAAAGAAAGAAAGAGAGAGAAAAGAAAGAAAGAAAGAAAGAAAGAAAGAAAGAAAGAAAGAAAGAAAGAAAGAAAGAACAAGACCACACAACAACCAGAAAATAAGTAACAAAATGGCAGGAGTAAGTCCTTATTTATCAATAATAATATTGAATGTAGATGGACTAAACTCTCCAATCAAAAGATGTAGAATGGCTGAATGGAGGGGGAAAAACCAGACTGAATGATCTGTTGCCTACAAGAAACACACTTAACCTATAAAGACACAATCTGAAAATTAAAAAATGAAAATGAAAGCCAAAAAGAGCAGGAGTAGCTACATTTATATCAGACAAAATAGATTTTAAGACAAAAACTAAAAGAAGAGACAAAGAAGGTCATCATATAACAATAAAGGAGTCAACTCACCAAGAGGATATACAATTGTAAATATATATGAACCCAACACTGGAACACCTAGATATAAAAAGCAAATATTATTAGGGCTAAAGAGATAGACCCCAATACAATAATAGCTGGAGACTTCAACACCCCACTTTGAGCATTAGACAGATCTTCCAGAAAGAAAATGACAAAAACATCAGACTTACTCTGCATTACAGACCAAATAAACCTAATAGATGTTTATAGACCAGCTTACCCAATGGTTGCAGAACCACATTCTTTTCTTCAGAACATAGATTAGTATCAAGAATAGACCATGTATTAGGTCACAAAACATGTCTTTTAAAAATTCAGAAAAATTAAAATAATATCCAGTGTCTTCTCTGACCACAGTGGAATAGAACTCTTACTCAGTAAGAAGAGGAATTTTAGAAACTATGTAAACACATGAACATTTAAGAAATATGCTCCTAAATGACCAGTGGGTCAATGGAGAAATTATGAAAAAATTCTTAAACAAATGATAATGGAAACACAACATACCAAAAGCTATGGGGCACAGCAAAAGTGCTACTAAGGAGGAAGTTTATAAGTGCCTGCATGTAACAAGAAGAAAAACTTCAAATAAACAACCTAATGATGCATTTTAAAGAACTAGAAAAGCAAAAGCAAACCAAATGCAAAATTAGTAGGAGAAAATAAATAATAACAATCAGAGCAGAAATAAATGAAATTGAAATGAAGAAAACAATACAAAAGATCAATGAAACAAAAAAATTTTTTTGAAAAGATAAAATTGACAAATATTTAGCCAGACAAGCTAAAAAGTGAGAGAGAGAAAAGATCCAAATAAATAAAATCAGTGATATTAAAAAAAAAAAGGAGACATTACAACTGATACCACAGAAGTTCAAAGGATCACTAGTGGTTACTATGAGCACCTATATGACAGTAAATTGGAAAATCTAGAAAAAAATGACAAATTCCTAGACACATAACAACATACCAAGATTGAACCAGGAAGAAATCCAAAACCTGAACAGACTAATAAGTAACAAGATCAAAGCCATAATAAAAAGTCTCATAGCAAAGAAAAGCCTAGCCCCCAGCTACTCAAATCCTACTCAAACTTTCCCAAAAAAATTGAAGAGGTGAGGGAGAGGGAATACTTCCAAACTCTTTTATGGGGCCAGTGTTATCCTGATACCAAAACCAAAGACAATCCAAAAAGGAAAACTACAGGCCAATATTGCCAATGAATATTGATACCAAAATTCTCAACAAAATACTAGCAAACTGACTTCAAGAATACATTAAAAAGATGATTTATCATGGCTAAGCAGGATTTATGCCTGGGATACAAGGATGATTCAACATATACAAATCAATCAACATGATACGATTGAAGAACAAAACAAAATGAAGAAAAAAACCATATGGTCATTTAAATTGATGCTGAAAAAGCATTTGATAAAATTTAACATCACTTCATGATTTAAAAAAAAAACTGAGTATAGAAGGAACATATCTCAACATAATAAAAGCCATATATGACAGACCCACACCTAGTATCATGCTGAATGGGGAAAATCTAAAAACCTTTCCTCTAAGATCTAGAACAGGACAAGAATGCCCACTGTCACCACCGTTATTCAACATAGCTAGAAGTTCTAGCTAGAACAATCAAACAAGACAAAGAAATAAGAGCATCCAAATTGGAAAGGAAGAAGTCAAATTAGCCTTGTTTGCAGATGATATGAGTTTATATTTGGAAAAACCTGAAGACTCCACCAAAAAACTATTAGAACTGATAAACAAGGTCAATAAAGTTGCAAGATTAAAAAATCAACATACTGGTTGGGCATGATGGCTCATGCCTATAATCCCAGCACTTTGGTAAGCCAAGGCAGGTGGATTACTGGAGGTCAGGAGTTCAAGACCAGCTTGACCAACATGGTGAAATCCTGTCTCTACTAAAAATACAAAATTAGCTGGATGTGGTGGCGTGCACCTGTAATCCCAGCTACTCAGGAGGCTGAGGGAAGAGAACCACTTGAACCCAGGAGGTGGAGGTTGCAGTGAGCTGAGATCACGCCATTGCACTCCAGCCTGGGCAAAAAGAGTGAAACTCCATCTGAAAAAAAAAAAAAATCAACATACAAAAATCAGTAGTATTTCTATGTGCCAAAAAGTAATAATCTGAAAAAGGAATCAAAAAAGTAATCTCGTTTACAATAGCCACAAATAAAATTAAATACCCGGAAACAGACTTAACCAAAGAAGTGAAATATTTCTACAATGAAAACTATAAAACACTGAAGAAATAAATTGAAGAGATGCCAAAAAGTGGAAAGATATTCCATGTTCATGGATTGAAAGAATCAATATTGTTAAAATGTCCATACCACCCAAAGCAAACTACAGATTCAATGCGATATCTGTCAAAATACCAACGATATTCTTTACAAAAATAGAAACAACAATCCAAAAATTTGTATGGAAACACAACCTATCCTAAGCAAAAAGAGCAAAACTGAAGGCATCATATTACCTGATTTCAGATTATACTATAGAGCTGTAGTAATCAAAATAGCATGGTACTGGCATAAAAACAGACACATAGACAAATGGAACAAAATAGAGAACCCTGAACTAAATTTATGCATTTAGAGTGAACTCATTTTTGACAAACGTGCCAAGAACATGCACTGAAGAAAGGACAGTTTCTTCAAATGGTGCAGGGAAAACTGGATATCAATATGCAGAAGAATGAAACTAGACCCCTGTGTCTTGCAATATATAAAAATCAAATCAAAGTGGCTTAAAATTTTAAATATAAGACCTGATGAAGCTACTAAAGAAAATATTGGGGAAACACTTCAGGATATTGGTCTAGGCGAAGATTTCTTGAGTAAGACTTCAAAAGTACAGGCAACCATAGCAAAAATGGAAAAATAGGGTCACACCAAGTTAAAAAGTTCCTGCACAGCAAAGGAAGCAATCAACAAAGTGAAGAGACAACCCACAGAATAGGAGGAAAATATTGGGAAACTACCTATTTGACAAAGGATTAATAACCAGAATATAAAAGGTACTCAAACAACTCTATAGGAAAAAAATCTAATAATCTAATTAAAAATTTGGCAAAATGTTTGAATAGACAGTTCTCAAAAGAAGACATACAATACTAAACAGGTATATGAAAAGGTGCTCATCATCACTGAACATCAGAGAAATGCAAATCGAAACTACAATAACATGTCATCTTACCCCAGTTAAAATGGCTTTTATCCAAAAGACAGGCAATAACATATGCTGGCAAGGGAGAAAAGGGAAGTCTCAAACACTGTTGGTGGAAATGTAAATTAATACAACCACTATGGAGAACAGTTTGGAGGTTCCTCAAAAAACTAAAAGTAGAACTACCAAATGATTCAGCAACCCTACTGCAGGGTATACACCCAAAAGAAAGAAAGTCAGTATATCAAAGAGATATCTGCACTCTCATGTTTGTTGCAACAGTGTTCACAATAGTCAAGATTTAGAAACAACCTAAAAGTCCATCAACAGATAAATGGATAAAGAAAATGTGATACATATACACAATGGGGTACTATTCAGCCATAAAAAAAATGAGATTCTGTCATTTGTCACAACATGGATGGAACTGGATATCATTATGTGAAGTGAAATAAGCCAGGCACAGAAGGACAAACATCGCAGATGCTCACTTTTTTGTGGGATCTAAAAATCAAAACCATTGAACTAATAGAGATAGAGAGTAGAAGGATGATTACCAGAGGCTGGGCAGGGTAGTGGGAGGGTGGGGAGGAGATGGGGATGGTTAATGGTTACAAATAATTAGAAAGAATGAAAAAGACCTAGTATTTGGTAGCACAAAGGGTGACTATAGTCGATAATAATTTAATTGTACATTTTAAAATAACTAAAAGACCATAATTGGATTGTCTGTAACACAAAAGATAAATGTTTGAAGGGATAGATAGCTCATTTTACATGATGTGATTATTATGCACTCTATGCCTATATCAAAATATTTCAGCCGGGCGCGGTGGCTCACGCCTGTAATCCCAGCACTTTGGGAGGCCAAGGCGGGTGGATCACAAGGTCAGAAGATCGAGATCATCCTGGCTAACACGGTGAAACCCCGTCTCTACTAAAAATACAAAAAATTAGCTGGGTGTGATGGTGGGCGCCTGTAGTCCCAGCTACTCAGGAGGCTGAGGCAGGAGAATGGCGTGAACCTGGGAGACGGAGCTTGCAGTGAGCTGAGATCGTGCCACTGCACTCGAGCCTGGGGGACAGAGTGAGACTCCGTCTCAAAAAAAAAAAAAAGATCTCTTATACCCCCATAAATATACACACCTATTATGTACCCACAAAAATTAAAATTAAAAATTAAAGAGAAAGAGGTGATGCTTATAAGGTCAAGCCATGGAGTCACTAGAAGACTGTACCAACAGGGCAGAGCCATCGCAACCTCTAGCTGTACTGAAAACTGTGGTCTTCAAGGTAAGGAAGACAGTTGGCCAATATGTTCTTCAGTGCAATATAGTCAAGTGGAAAGAGCACCAGACAGTCAGGAAAGCCAGGTGTCGATCTTGCTGAACTTTTAACTACCTGTGGGGCCAATACAACCTCTCTGAACATTTTGTATATGTCTTGCCTATAAAATGAAGGGGATGAATATCATGACTGCTAGGTCTCTTCCAGCTCTAGGACCCTGTGATGTTCATAAAATGCTCCCTCATTAGAGGTAATAAGAAGATGTTATTTTTTAAGCAAGAACTATACACCTAAATGTGGCACAATTTACCCCCAATTTTTGAAAGAAACAAACTCAATTTTTTAAAAGTTTGTCAGAAAAGATGGAAATTCAATTAATTAAAGCGATTTTTTACATATTCCAAATTCAGAATAAGTTGTTTTCAGTCTATTATGAGGGATTTTGAGAAATCTTACATGAACAACAATTTGGCTCTACCCTGAAAAATCCTGGTGGCTTATATTTCTGACCTGTATGAGCAATTAACATGCCTCTCAATGGACACATGAGCAACAACTTGGGGACACAAGTAATCAAGGGGTCCATTTTCATTTCCTCGAGCATGAAAGACAGAAACCAGGGGTTTCAGCATAAGCTAGAAAATGGCAGAGGAGATGTTGATTGTGGTTTTAAATTTCTAATTTCATTTTCAAGCGCAGAATATGCCCAGAAGCAACACTCAGGACAGAAACCTACAGCAAATGTCCTTAATTACTTTGTTCCCAGCCTCCTTGAAACACTAGCAATCTGGAGGCCAGGTCCATAAAACTGGCCAGAAATCACTCCAAATCAATTTCCTAATCATTGACTTGAGAAGCAGGCAGACGTTATGCCATAATGTGACTCCGCTAAATCATTATTCAACAGAATAGGGCTCCTGCCTCTGAAATCCTCTAGGACCAATGGGATTTCAGAGGCAACAATGAAACGAATATTTTGTTTCCCTTGGAATTCAAATCACGTGGTTCACTCTGTTTCCTTGTTCTGTAAACCTAAATAGATGCTTATTGCTTTAAGTTCTGAGACAGCCAAAATATAGAACAGTCTGCCTTATTATAATACTTCCATTTTTACAAACATATTTGCCAGGCTATGTGTCCCAATCTGTAGCCCGAAAAATTGGATATCCTGACGACTGGACCTGCCATAATTTACCCTCCCTACATTCACGGGCTCTTTCTTTTCTCACTCCTTTTCTCCAGGCTGGTACCAATTAAATAGTCTTGGTATTTCTTCAAATAAAATTTTAAAACCCCAAACCCCAAGTTGGTTTTGGTCAAAAGATTCTTTCAAATCCTAATCAAAAGCATTCAGAAAAATAAGAATTTATTTTGTCTCCAGAGGTCCATCTGAGATGTCAATTACTAGTATAGATGTAAACATATGGAGACTTAAACACTCTGGCTGACGACGTGAAACATTGCAGTGGAAGGACAGGGTGGGGAGGCTGGAACACAAGGATGCAAGATAAAGAAGGAACAGAGAGAACAGCGTGATACAGTTTATCTTGGACAGAAGGAATTTGTTTAACTCTTTCAGTTTTCATAAAGCATCATCCTTGGAACAAGATGACCAAGTGGGGAGAAAATCCAGCCACCGTCTGTGCTGACATCATGCTCAGCAGAAGCCAAGCAAGAAATCCTACCTTGAGGGAACCCAGTGCCCTCCTCAGACAGATGGAGTCTGCTGAATACCTGCAGGAAGATGTCTAAGTGATGCCCATTCAGACATCTTCATGCCACTACCTCCTCTTAAGAGGCCAGAAAGACCATTTTGCAGCTGCAAATGTTCCCACCCCAGACTCCTGGCAAGCAGTCGAGTGCTGGGCCAATTCACTAACAATGGAAAAGAAGCTACCTGACCTCTCTTCAGGACTTCCCTCCTTCCCAGCAGACCCCACCACACTTGCCCTTCCTGTAATTGCTCAGGGCAGGCAGCAGGTCATTACTGGAAGGGCAGATGCGCCTCCCCTCCTGACTAATTCAGGCAACATTTTCACACTGCTGAGCAACAATTCACGGCAAGAATAAAAGAGGCAAAGAGATGGATTCTTTTACTACAAGTGAATATGGAAATCTGCTCTGGTACTCTAAAGTTATAAAGGTGCAGTGGAGACACTGGGTTCCCCTGAATTCACCAAGAAAACCACGGCATCGTATAAGTATCACTTGGCACTTAGAAGAATGCAAAGACTCTTAAGTTAATAGTCGCACTGGAACAACTCAGGACGGTGTCTTCTACTCTAGGGCATAGAATGAGGGAACCTTTCTAGGCCTTTTTAGTTTTCATAAACAACATTGTCAGACCCACTGTATCAGTGCCTTGATTATTTTCAAAATGTAATACAGAGTCCTCTGGTGTGCCAAACTGGCCTACTCACATCTGGTATATCTAACTCCATCTTTAGTTTTAAAGCTGACCCCAAAACAGCATATGGTTTTGGTCAAGTGGCTTATCTTGTATGATGGACAAAATGACTCAATGATGTTAGTCAGGAGGTGCCATGAAGTTGCCATCTTAACCAAAGTCAATTTGGTCTTCCAATGAGGCTAGACCTGCAGAGTCAATGGCAGCCCCATTCATCAGTTTTTTCTCCTCTATTTCTTCTTCCTTTCTTAAAATTTTATTTTTAAAATTCCTTATACATATATAAACATTTGTAATCAAATTTATAAATATACCATATCAGACATCTTGGTTTTTTGTTTTGTTTTGCTCCCCTGCTCCCATTCATTCTTAAAGCTCCACTCACATGACAGCCCCGTTCCCCAGCGAGGAATCTTCTGGTGACAACCTAGCATGTGTCCTTCCTTATTTTTCTTTGTGCTCATATAATAATATAAACACACATATATATATATAATATACATATATAAGAGATAAGGCAATGTTTTACATAAATGGGATTATATTTTAAGCGCTTTGCATCTTGCTTTTCTCACTATAAACCAGTTCATGGAAGTCCCTCCAAGTAAAGCAATGGAGTTACAGGTTTGTTTTCATTTGGTCTTGCTTTTGATTTTGCTTTTTCAATGCCTGCATAAGATATTACGGTGTGAATGAAAATATAATAATTGACAAAACCACTCCCCTCCTGATAAACATTGACTTTGTTTCCCATGTGTATGTGTGTGTGTGTGCATGTTTTATGTATATATTTTATACACACACATATAAAAGTCGAGAGAGAGAGAGAGAAAGAGATTTATTATGTAAAATTGGAGGCTGAAAAGTCCCAAGATCTGCAATCAGCAGGCTGGAGCCCCAGGAGAGCTGATGGTTTAAGTTCCA